>NC_000024.10:4540766-4841176 GCF_000001405.40 Homo sapiens
GCAGGAAAATGGCAAGCTCCGGGAAGCGGAGCTTGCAGTGAGCCGAGATCGCCACTCCAGCCTGGCCGACAGAGCGAGACTCCATCTTAAAAAAAAGAAAAAAAAAAAAAGCAATTAGTTCTGATTTAGTGTTTTCATCCTTCTTTATAATTATAATCTGCATTGCTTTTCTTATTTATTATTTTCTAACTCCCATGTATAGTCACTATATATAACTATATAATTGTTGTTTCCTTATAGATTCAGTTATGTCCAAAGCTATCACTTTTCTACATTTTTTTTTTTTGCAATTTCAGTGTGAAATCAAATGTTCCAGCTTTTCTGTGAATCCCCATATTTCTTTTAGATAAGCTAAATCTCTGAGATTTGAGCCCACTGAAATATATTCTGATTTGATCCTTCTGTTTTAGCAGGTTATATGCTATGTTCCTTTATTCTTTTCCAATATCTTTGCTTGACATTAGTCTTAATAAAATATTTATGTACCAGGCATCTCCAAAGTTTCTTTCTTTATTTGTTAATATATTTGCTTTTGTAATTTTGATCCAATATTTTTTCAGAGGGGATGTAAGACGGCTTACATAAATACATGCAATTCACACATCATTCATTTGCATGTTCTCACAACCTCTAGGAGAAAATATGAAAACTGCCTTTCTGCTACATACTGTACTAGTGCTGGGACATTTGAATATTGTAATGATAAGAACCAGAATTTATTATAACAATAAGAACAGAAAAGGCAGAGGGAGGAAGATAAATCAAAATGGCTTAATTTACTTTATTCTATATTATTTTAATAGGGATAGTGTATAAATTATCAACTTAAAAATATCTTTCATTTTTTAAAAAAAAATTTGCCTGGAAGTTTTCAGTAAGTTATCTTTTGGTCAAATTATCCTCTTGAGACTATTTTTGGGCACCCATCAAGCTTACTTAACCAAAAGTTTCCATGCTTATTTTAATCTTAGAGCTGTACATTGAATATTCAAACTATACTCCTGTCTGAAACCTTTATTGCATTCTTAAAATGCATGTTTATCCTTTTCTTCTTCACATACTGAAATAAAATAAGCAACAAAAATGATTGCAATAATTTGCCAAAAGTGTTTAAATAAGGAAAATATGATCTATTCAGATAGATGTCTTGTGCTTTTTTAAAATTATGAAACAACCTGAAGCTTAAAGAAAATTTGCAAGTATAGTACAAATAACTTTTTCTATAATCTATTTGAGAGTGAAATGCTGACTGATGATGCCCCATGAACCCCAGCTCTTGTTTTGTGCAGATTTCCTATCAACAAGGACAATGGATCACAGTACAACTATCAACATTGGGAAATTAACCTAAACACAATCCTAACAGCTAATCATCAGACCCCATTGAAGTTGTGTCAAATGTCCAAATAACACCCTTTCTAGTGAAATGATTCGTTTCAGAATATACACATTCACTTTATTTATCATATTTCCTTATTCTCCTTCTTTGGTTTTCATGATCTTGGCACTATGGAAAAGTACAGACAAGTTACATTGTAGTTTGTCTCTCGATTTGGGTTTATTTGATGGTTTCTTATAATTTGATTCAGGCCATGTATCTTTTGTAGCATTATCCTGGGAGAAATATTGTTTTCTTTTTACTGTGATCAATGAGGTGGCATGCCATTTTAATTAGTTTTATCACTAATGATGTTTATTTTGATCATTTAATAGAGTATTCACAAGACTTCTCCACTGTAAACTTTGTGTTTTTACCTCTTTGTAATCATAAAGTATTTTAATAATTTAATGGATGTAAATATCCCATTCTTTATCTAATGTTTGATTTATTCTTTATTAATTTATATAGTTATGGTTTCATAATTTTGTAATTTATTTAGTGGGTTATAATATGCTACAATAATTATTTATTTTAATGCTCAAATTGTCTGATTCAGCAGTAGGAGACCCTTTAAACTGCCTCCAATATCCTTTTGATACATCCCCATCATTTCTTAAGCATGTCCTTCTTTACCAGAATCAGAATATGTATGAGGATTTTCTTGTGCTCTCCGTGCCCCAGATCTAGAATTATCCTTGCTCCAAGAAATTCTGTTTCTTTTTAGAGGAAAATGGTGTTTTGAAACTGATATCTGGATGCTAATTCAATCCCAAACCTCACCACCACAGGGTTCAGTCTAATATTATCTCTTTTCTTATTTCTAATTCTCTTTTTCAGCAAGGAGAAATAAGGGTCATGTAAATATATTTACTTACCTAGTTACTCCTCCTCTGTGTAACCAATCCCCTGTGGCTACCACTGTCATCTTTCTCACTAACTAATTGCTCTATTAATACTCCTGTCGATTTTCGGCTCTTGAAGCAAATATGAGGATAAACTCAAATATCTTGTTTTTAAATTTCCATGCTGACTCATTTTTAATAACTTCTTACACAGAAACTTTTCAAATATTCTTAATATCTGAAGAAACCACACTTTCTCTTTTCTGCTCGTTCATATTTTATCTCTCTAAGAAAATATAAGGGAGTTTATTACACTAGCTGGAATATTCACTAGCTAGATCTCTATTATATGGAAATTATATTATTCAGAACTCACAGGATCCTTTCTTGAAGAATAACTTGGGACTTTTCCAGTCCATAGCATTTTGTATATGTTCATGTAACATATTTGTAGCAAATTTTTCCTGCTTTTGCACTGGGATATTTTCATACGTTTTTGTTGATATTATATATTCCAAGGTGTTATCTATTCCAATGGAAACATGAGGTTTCTCAATTTTTAAGATCATCTTATGTATGGAACACTCTTTGATTTAGTTTTTTCTAGACTATGGCACGTGGAGCTTACTATTTCTAAAAGTAACCATTCTCTAGGTTAAATAAGGGGTATATAATTTAGGGATTTTTCCAGAGATTATTTACCAATTACAAAGGGGAGGAAGAGATTCCATTACAGTGGGAGAAATATAATAGACACAACTGCAATGAAGTGGTAAAAGTTAATCAGTATTAAAATCAGTATTAGAACAAATTGACATCCTGTGCCTCATGATGTGATGCCATGAGGAAAATATACATGACTTCTCTGAGGTTCTGGCTAAAAACACACAAGCTCACTCTAATCATGAGAAAACAATCAGACAAATCAAAAGTGAGAGCAATTTACAAAACAGCTCTGAATTTTTTAAAAATGTTAATGCCATGAGAAAGAAAATGTTTGGAGAAGTCTTCTAAATTAACAGAGACAAAAGAAAGCATGACAACTAAATGCAATGCTCAATCCTGAATTGACTCATGAATTAAAAAAATCATATTTTAAATATATTATTGGGAAAAATCAGTGAAATTTTTATAAACTGTCGAGTTGCCAATACCTTATACTATGTTTAAATTTTCTTTATTTGAAATTGTATAATAGTTATGTAAAACAATATCCTTGCTCTTAGAAGACAGATGCTAGCAGTATTAGGGATAAAGTGTCATGAAAGTTGCAAATTACTCTCAATGGCTTGAGAAAAAATAATTATATAAGTTATATATACTTTCATATATAATATATTAATTATATATACTTACATATATTTATATATTTAAGCCCACACAGAGTCACAAATACATGCATGCACAAATATACAAAGGAGAAAGAAAGAAATCAAGCAAAATGGTGAAACTGGGTGAAAGATGTACACTTTCTACATTTTTTCTGTGGCTTAAAAATGTATTAAATAAAATTTAAAAAAAAAGAAAAAATGAAAAAATATATTCTGTTTTATTCAAAAACCCTGTAAAAATCCATTTTTATTTGTTTTTAATCACCTTTATCTGTTGGTGGGAATTACAGTTAGTACAATCACTGTGGAGAACAGTGTGGAGGTTAAGCAGAAAACTAAAAAGAGCTGCCATACAATCCAGCAATCCCACTCCTAGGTATATACTCAAAAGAAAGGAAATCAGTATGTTGAGGAGATATCTGGGCTCTCACATTTATTCCAGCATGATTTACAATAGCCAAGATTTGGAAGCAACCTATATCCATCAACAGATGAATGAATAAAGAAAATGCGTTATGTATACACAATGAAGTGCTATTTAGCCATTACAAAAAAATGAGATCCTGTCATTTGCAATAGCATGGATGGAACTGGAGGTCATTATGCTAAGTGAAATAAGCCAGGCACAGAAAGACAAATATTACATGTTTTCACTTATTTGTGGGATCTAAAACTCAAAACAATCGAACTCATGGAGATACAGAGTAGAAAGATGATTACTAGAAGCTATGAAGGGTAGTGGGAGGGTGGAGGATAAGTGAGAATGATTAACGGATACAAAAATAGTTAGAAATAATAAATAAGTCCTAGTATTTGGTAGCATAACACGGTGAATATGGTAAAAAATTAATTGTACATTTTAAAATAACTAAGAGTATAATTAGATTTTTTGTAACACAAAGGATAAATGCTTGAGTTGATGAATATTCCATTTTCTCTGGTGTAATTATTATGCATTGTATGCCTGTATCATATCTCATGTATCCCATAAATATATATATCTACTATGTATCCACAAAAATTAAACACATAAATAAAATACTTTCTTATATCCACCCTAAATTTTATAAGTGACATCTGAAACTTCTTTCTTCTTCTTCTTTCTTTGATCAATGTGTGTACTAGCTAGTTATAATTCTCTGAATAATTTTTACATGCCTAATGACATAAATTACTTCTTTGCTTCCATTTCAGAATCTTCACATGTTTTAAGCTATAAGATGCATAACTAACAACTAAACTGAAAATCATATAAACATAAATATACATTGGAGCAATATTAATATTTTTAATTTTAAAAATTGAAAATATAAACTTATAATCATATTACATTAAGAAACTCTAAGGACTAAATTTCCTCTTTCCTATCCTCAGAATATGAATTAGTTTTAAAATTAAATACTGAAAATCATATAAACATAAATATACATCGGAGCAATATTTTTTTAATTTAATATTTTTAATTTTAAAAATTGAAAATATAAATTTATAATCATATTACATTAAGACCTCTAAGGACTAAATTTCCTCTTTCCTATCCTCAGAATATGAATTAGTTTTAAAATTAAATACTGATTTGAAAAAACATGCTTTGAAAGAAGAATTAGAATAAATAGAGAAAACAGTGACAATTTTCTCATTACAGGTAATAAACTTGATATTTTTTGTTTTTTAGTCTACGTACTATTTGAAGATCTGAAGATTATATTAGCCATCTTGGCAGATATTAAATGAATAACGCAAATACTAGCTTCTTAGTTCAGCTTTGTTTCTTTAAGGAAAACAAGGTTCTTAGACATCTTAAACTTTTTTTTTTTTTTTTTTGAGATGCAGTTTCGCTCTTGTTGCCCAGGCTGGAGTGCAATGACGCGATCTCGGCTCACCGCAATCTCCGCCTCCCGGGTTCAAGCGATTCTTCTGCCTCTCAGCCTCCCGAGTAGCTGGGATTACAGGCATGTGCCACCACGCCCGGCTAATTTTGTATTTTTAGTAGAGACGGTGTTTCCCCATGTTGATCAGGCTGGTCTCAAACTCCTGACCTCAGGTGATCTGCCCGCCTCGGCTTCCCAAAGTGCTGGGATTACAGGCGTGAGCCACTGCGCCCGGCTAGACATCTTAAACTTTTATAAAAAAAAATTTGTTTGTGTTTTTGTGTGTGTTTGTGTGTATGTATGTTGAGGATGAGGCTCTCTTTCAGACTTCCATATATACTTTCTTCTATTTAGCTTTTAAAAACATATTTGTACATTTAATTTATCTGCTATTATATCTAAGTATGTTAATTTATATTTTATGTAAATGATAGTGTTTTTCATTTTATTATTATTCATTTTATTTTGTATGTCATTTCAGAGGTCAGTCTTATTTGGAAAAAATACATTACTAATGTTTAGGATCACTCTGAATTCTAGTTCAGCTTTTGGGGGTTTTAGCAATCATTTGGAGCTATTCTTTGTGTACCATGACTGTTCAGTGACTATTTATTGAACACCCCAAAATTACAGTGTTATATGGTATGGAAGTTATAGAACAAAGAAGATATGAAGCTTCAAAGAATTTGCCCTCCGTTTACCCAAGTATCCTCTGAGAAAAAAACAATTTAGCTGCACAATATAGACCAGACATTTTAGTGTACTATTAATATATGTTCATTATAAAAATTTAATACGGAAAAACATAATGAAGAAAACAAAAATCCCCCTAACTTCTAGCACCTAGAGTAACTACTAAAAACACTTTGGAAAATATAGTTCTAAATATCAATTGATATTAATCTCTCTCTCTCTTTCTCCGTCCCTATCTATCTACATATTTTCTTCCTCTACAGAGATACCCAAGTGCAATTTTATATTAATAGCTTCACACTACACAAACTGTCATGCATTTTGCCTTTAAGCATTAAATTATTTTTGGTATATAACTTAGATATCAGTAACACAAATCTATTTTATTATTTTTAAAGCCTATAGTTTTCATAGCTATACAGATATATATATATATTCTAAATCTCTTTTCAATGATTACCAATAGATGCTTAGGCTCTTATCTTTTTTCTATTATTTTTTTCTGTGGCCATTTTTGGCATATAGATATTTTCATATGTGATCAATGACCACTAATATAAATTCCTTGAAGAGTATTGCTTGCTCAAATCTAACCCAATTTTAAATACTATTATACTAAAATGTTTTCGGGTATATAAATTTACGCTTCACATTTCTTGACCGACACTAATTATTTCTATTTTTCTTTAGTCTTTGACAACATGCCATGCCATTTTACATTTCTATTATTCACATTCTCATTTAAAAAGCCCTTTTAATGTCAAGGTATTTTTTGATAACTGGCTGATTAATATGGCCAGTTATGTTGTTTTGTCCTTTGATATATTCTCAATCATATTTGTTAAATTATACATTTTCTGGCTGGTAAGATTTATTTACACGTCTCTTAATGTATTCTAGACCATATTTGCATTAATATTTTTGAGATTTTATGTGGCTTATTTTCTCATTTTTTGCTTTCATCATCAAGGTTTTTTTATACAGAATTAAAGTAAAATAGGATGAGAAGATGTCATTCAACTATGTGTTGTGGAATAGTTTAAATAGCATAGACATTATCTATTCCTTAGTAATTTTAAGAATAGTCTTATGTTAACATCTGGGTCTACCCTGTATTTGTGGGGTAAAGTGACATATTGTCAATGTGTTTATTCTTTTCCATTTAGTTTATTTTTTCTCTTTTTTGCTCTAAGTGGTTTAATTCATTAATTCACAGTGTTGTTCGAATGAATAATTTAAATTTCCACTATTTCTGTATTTATACATTGTTCTCATATTTTTTTATTTGTATCTTAGGACATTAAGAGATTATATGTTGTGTATTTTAATAAAGCATTTCTCTCTTTTATAATTTTATTTATTTTCTATTTTCTAATTCATTAATGTCTTCCTACTTCTCTCCTTAATTATGAATTGATTTTTTTTTAAATTTCTTGCATTAGTTTCATCATGCATTTATTCTGTTTTGGGGGGAATATCATTTATAAGGTTATGAATTTAATCTAATGATAGCTTTAGCCTATTCCCATAAATCTTGTTAAATACTGATTTAATTTTATCATTATCTACATCTAGAATCTTTACTAAGGAACATTTCAAGTACCAAAACTGATTGGCAAAAGCCATGTGAGGTACTATGTTAAAAATAGTAGGGGGTAAGGCCGGGCGCAATGGCTCATGCTTGTAATACCAGCACTTTGGGAGTCTGAGGCGGGGGGGATCACCTGAGGTCAGCAGTTTGAGACCAGCCTGGCCAACATGACGAAACCCCGTCTCTGCTAAAAATACAAAAATTAGCCTGGTGTGATGGCGGAAGCCTGTAATCACAGCTACTTGGGAGGCTAAGGCAGGAGAATCGCTTGAACTCGGGATCTGGAGTTTGCAGTGAGCTGAGATGGCACCACTGCACTCCAGCCTGGGTGACAGAGCGAGACTCCATCTCAAAAAAAAAAAAAAAAAGTAGGGGTTTAGTGAAACATAGCACTATGTCTTTCGTGAAAGTGGAAGTGGTGTATTACCGGTATCAGGTTTGTAAGAGATGGGCTATCTCCATGCTGATATTCTTCATTCACAGTTTTGATGTCATTCTTAATCTAATTATTAAAATAAAGTTGATTTTTGTGATAGAGTATTTTCAGACTCAGTTCACGACCTCTGCCTCACACCCTCTTTGCTGCCGCAGTGATTGTGGACATTTTTTCTCAAGTTTTAAACACTTTTTTTCTTTTCTTTCTTACCTTTCCTTTTCTTTTTCCCTCCCTCCCTCCCTCCCTGTCTTCCTTCATTCCTTCCCTCCTTTTCTCCCTCACTCTCTCCTAATATCCCTCTCTACTTCCTTCCTTTCTTTCCTTCATAAAGTGGTATGACATGGGCCTTGATCAATGAGGAACAATATTGGTTCAAACAGAAATGACATTGGCTGCAAATATTTGGTACTGGTTGACCAATGCACGCAAGCTTAAATTTATGGTTATTTTTGCTCCCCACATGATTTCTTCATTCATTTACACTTCATTTGTCCAGGACGTGTGTAAAAGTTTCTTTAAACTGTTTTTTTATTTATTGCCTTACACATCTGTATATTTAAGTTTCTTTTGGATTCTGGAAAATTCGCAACCAGTATTGCTTTTAATATTTCTTCTCCATTTTTTTTTTCTATTATCTTCTACTGTTACTCTCTTTAGATTTACAGTCATGGGCCACATAACAGTATTTCAGCCAATGATGGACCTCATATGCAAAGGTGGTCCCATAAAATCATAATACCATATTTTTACTGTAACTTTCATATGTTTAGATATGTTTAGAAACACAAATACTTCTTACCAATGTTTTCCAATTGCCTATAGTATTCAGTAGAGTAACACACTGTTCAGGTCTGTAGTCTAGGACAATAGGCCATACCATGTAGGCTAGTTATACACTAGACTATATAACATCTAGGTTTATGTAAGTACAATAATGTTTGCACAATGATGAAATCTCCTAATGATGCATTTCTCAGAGTGTATCCCTATCATTAAATGACACGTAATTGTACATTGACACTTTCTCATTACTGTCATTACTTTTAACCTGGCTTTCTTACATTCCATCCCCATATATTTTTGTGCTGCAGTCTGGATATATATAATCTTCTTTTTTTTTTTGAGTCGGAGTTTCACTCTTGCTGCCCAGGCTGGAGTGCAATGGCGCGATATCCACTCACTGCAACCTCCGCCTCCCGGGTTCAAGCCATTCTCCTACCTCAGCCTCCCGAGTAGCTGGGATTCAGGCATGTGCCACCATGCCCGGTTAATTTTGTATTTTTAGTAGAGACGGGGTTTCTCCATGTTGGTCAGGCTGGTCTCAAACTTCCAACCTCAGGTGATTTGTCCGCCTTGGTCTCCCTAAGTGGTGGGATTACAGGTGTGAGCCACTGTGCCTGGCCAAGATATATATCTAAAGATATCTATCTATCTAGATATTTAATCTACTAATCTATCTAGATATTTAATCTATCTAGATAATTAAATGTCTATCTATTTAATTATTAGTAGATAATTAATATCTACTAATATTTAAACCATCAATTGATATTTTATTTTTTTCCACAGAGATCTTATCCCAATCAGAATACTTTTCATTTCTAGAAATTCTATTGTTTTCCCAATTTTTCTGCCCTTGTTGGTCTCTTTTTCCTTGTTCATTTTTTTATTTCATCATTCATTCATTTATTTTATTAGCTTTTTCAAACATAGCTAGGTTATGTTCTGTATGTGATATTACTTAAATCTGAAGTTTTTGGTCATCTAAATATGTTTTTCTTTCTTTGTGTGGTTATTTCAGATAACTAGTTCTTTGATTTATTTGTTTTTTTTGTATTTTTAGTAGAGATGGGGTTTTGCCATGTTGGCCAGGGTGGTCTTGAACTCCTGACCTCAGGTGATCCACCCTCTGGGATTACAGGCATGAGCCATTGTGCCTGGCCCTGTATTTTCTTATATAGTTCATACATTCCTATTCTAGTTTCAGATGGGCTTTCATGTCCCTCCTTGTAGAGATTTTTCTAATATATAAGGAGCTCAGAAATAAAGTACATACCAGTGATCATTCACCCAGGATGTGCTTCATTTTTAGTTGCAGAGACTTTTAGAATATCTTATATTCCATGCTGCTTGAAAAATATTTGCTCTTTGAAATAAATAGAACATTTAAAAAAGGCCAGATGTGCAAATATAGACCAAACCTCTTCCTTTCAAACATTAAAAATTCCCAAAGTATTTCATGAATATTCTTATAACCATATGGCAAAATGCTGAATACTCAAATATGCACATGTAGAAAGATGTGACAACAATGTGTTGGCTAAAGTGAAACTGATAGTTTATGATGGAGTCTAAAGCTCAAACTTTCTTTAATGTCTTTATTATTAAATATTTTCATTTCCAAAAATTCTCTTAAAATATCCAGTTGTCTATTCCATTATATAAGACATAAATAAAATTGTTGAATGATATTAATCCTTAGTGTGATTCTGGTGGAAATGGATTCCATAGAGTCTTTTTAGTTAATGAATTAAGAACAACCATCATACTCAAATATGTTTTCCAAATTTTTAGACTTCTTTTCTTCCTTGGGAACACCAAATATTCTTGGGTTTGGTCATTTAACATAATCCCAAATGGTTTTTCTTGTCTCTGTCTCCTTCGGTTCTTCTCTGATCTCAGTTATTTCTTGTCTTCTTCTAGCTTTTCAATTTGTTTGCTCTTGCTTCTCCATTTCTTTCAATTGTGATGTTAGAGTGTCAATTTTAGATCTTTCTCACTTTTTCCTGTGGGTATTTAGTGCTATAAATTTTCCTGTAAACACTGCTTTAGCTGTGTCCCAGAGATTCTGGTACATTGTGTCTTTGTTCTCATTGGTTTCAAATAACTTATTTATTTCTGCCTTAATTTTGTTATGTACCCAGTAGTCATTCAGGAGCAGGTTGTTCAGTTTCCATGTTGTTGTGCAGTTTTGAGTGAATTTCTTAATCATGAATTCTAATTAGATTGCACTGTGGTCTGAGAGACTGTTTGTTATGATTTCCATTCTTTTGCATTTGCTGAGGAGTGTTTTGCTTCCAATTATGAGGTCAATTTTACAATAAGTGTGATGTGGTGATGAGAAGAACGTTTATTCTGTTGATTTGCGGTGGAGAGTTCTCTAGATGTCTATTAGGTCCACTTGGTCCAGAGCTGAGTTCAAGTCTTGAATATCTTTGTTGATTTTCGACAATGGGGTGTTAGAGTCTCCCACTATTATTGTGAGGGAGTCTAAGTCTCTTTGTAGGTCTCTAAGAACTTGCTTTACAAATCTGGGGGCTCCTGTATTGGGTGCGTACATATTTAGGATATTTAGCTCTTCTTGTTGCATTGATCCCTTTACCATTACATAATGCCCTTCTTTGTCTCTTTTGATCTTTGTTGGTTTAAAGTCTGTTTTATCAGAGACTAGATTTGTAACCCCTGCTTTTTTTTTTTTTGCTTTCCATTTGCTTGGTAAATATTCTTCCATCCCTTTATTTTGAGCCTATGTGTGTCTTTGCATGTGAGATGGGTCTCCTGAATACAGCACACCAATGGGTCTTGACTCTTTATCCAGTTTGCAAGTCTGTATCTTAATTGGGGCATGTAGCCTGTTTACATTTAAGGTTAATATTGTTATGTGTGAATTTGATCCTGTCATTATGATGCTAGCTGGTTATTTTGCCCATTAGTTGATGCAGTTTCTTCATAGTGTCGATGATCTTTACAATTTGATATGTTTTTGCAGTGGCTGGTACCAGTTTTTTCTTTCCATATTTAGTGCTTCCTTCAGGAGCTCTTGTAAGGCAGGCCTGGTAGTGACAAAATCTCTCAGCATTTGCTTGTCTGTAAAGGATTTTATTTCTCCTTCATTTATGAAGCTTAGTTTGGCTGGATATGAGATTCTGGGTTGAACATTCTTTTCTTTAAGAATGTCAAGTAATGGCCCCCACTCTCCTGGCTTGTACAGTTTCTGACAGGAGATCCACTGTTAGTCTGATGGGCTTCCCTTTGAGGGTAACCCGACCTTTCTCTCTGGCTGCCCTTAACATTTTTTCCTGCATTTCAACCTTGCTGAATCTGACAATTATATGTCTTGGGGTTGCTTTTCTCGAGGAGTATCTTTGTTGTGTTCTCTGTATTTCCTGAATTTGAATGTTAGCCTGTCTTGGTAGGTCGGGGAAGTTCTCCTGGATAATATTCTATAAAGTGTTTTCCAACTTGCTTCCATTCTCCCTGTCACTTTTAGGTACACCAGTCAAACACAGGTTTGTTCTTTTCACATAGTCCCATATTTCTTGGAGGCTTTGTTCATTCCCTTTCATTCTTTTTTCTCTATTCTTGTCTTCACGCTTTATTTCATTAAGTTGGTCTTCAATCTCAGATATTCTTTCTTCCACTTGATCGATTTGGCTATCGATACTTTGTGTATGCTTCATGAAGTTCTCGTGCTGTGTGTTTCAGCTCCATCAGTCATTTATGTTCTTCTCTAAACTGATTATTCTAGTTAGCAATTCCTCTAACGTTTTATCAAGTTTCCTTGAATTGGGTTAGAACATGCTCCTTTAGCTTAGAGGAGTTTGTTATTACCCACCTTCTGAGGCCTACTTCTGTCAATTCATCAACTGATTCTCTGCCTGGTTTTGTTCCCTTGTTGGCAAGGAGTTCTGATCCTTTGAAGGAGAAGAGACATTCTGGTTTTTTGAATTTTCAGCCTTTTTGCGCTGCCTTTTCCTTATCTTTGTGTATTTATCTACCTTTGGTCTTTGATGTTGGTGACATTTGGATGGGATTTTTGTGTGGATGTCCTTTTTGTTTATGTTGAGGCTATTCCTTTCATTTCTTTCTGTTTGTTAATTTTCCCTCTACCAGTCAGGCCCCTCTGCTGCATGTCTGTTGTAGTTTGCTGGAGGTCCACTCCAGACCCTGTTTGCCTGGGTATCACTAGTGGAGGCTGCAGAACAGCAAAGATTGCTGCCTGTTCCTTCCTCTGGAAGCTTCATTCCAGAGGGGCACCCACCAGATGCCAGCTGGAGCTCTCCTGTATGAGGGATCTGTTGATTCCAGCTGGGAGGTGTCTGCTACTCAGGAGGCACAGTTGTCAGGGACCCACTTGAGGAGGCAGTCTACCCCTTATCAGAGCTTGAGCGCTGTTCTGGGAGATCCACTGCTCTCTTCAGAGCCAGCAGGCAGGGACGTTTAAGTCTGCTGAAGCTGCGCCCACAGCCGCCCCTTACCCCAGGTGCTCTGTCCCAGGGAGATGGGAGTTTTATCTATAAGCCACTGACTGGGGCTGCTGCCTTTCTTTCAGAGATGCCCTGTCCAGAGAGGAGGAATCTAGAGAGACAGTCTGGCTACAGCAGCTTTGCTGAGCTGTGGTTGCCTCCTCTCAGTTCAAACTTCCAGGCAGCTTTGATTACACTGTAAGTGTAAACTACCTTCAGACTGCTCTGGTGGCAGTGAGAATTTCAAGCCAGTGGATCTTACCTTTCTGGGCTCCATGGGGGTGGGATGTGCTGAGGCAGACTACTTGGCTTCCTGGCTTCAGTCTCCTTTTCAGGGGAGTGAACGGTTCTGTCTCATTGGCATTCCTGGTGCCTCTGGGGTATGAAAATAAACTCCTGTAGCTAGCTGTCTGCCTAAATGGCTGCCCAGTTTTGTGCTTGAAACCAAGGGCTCTGGTGGTGCAGGCACTTAGGGGAATCTCCTGGTCTGCGGGTTGTGAAGACTGTGGGAAAAGCATAGTTTCTGGGCCGGAATGCACCATTCCTCATGGCACAACCCCTCACGGCTTCCCTTGGTTAAGGGAGGGAGTTCCCCAACCCCTTGCACTTCCCAGGTGAGGCAATGCCCCACCCTGCTTCTGCTCACCCTCTGTGGGCTGCACCCACTGTCTAATCAGTTCAAATGAGACGAGCTGTGTACCTCATTTGGAAATTCAGAAATCACCCTCTTCTGCATTGATCTTGTCGGAAGCTGCAGACCGGAGGTGTTCCTATTCAGCCATTTTGCCAGCTCAGAAAGATGTTTCTTATTAGGATTCATTGAAACTACCTGAAGAAAGCCTCCAGATTTAATTTGAATAAGAGTTTTTGTGAAAATAATTTGGTAAGAAGCAGAAAATAGAGGGAACATGTTTGCAAACAAAATTTAGAAGTTTAATTTTTATTTTAATTTACTTTTTAAATTGGCAAGTAATAATTGTACATATTCATGGAGTACATAGTGGTATTTTGATACATATAATGTATAGTGATCAGATCAGTGTAGTTAACATATCCATCAATTTAAATATATATTATTTCTTTGTGTTGGAAATTTTCAATATTCTGCTTCTAGTTATTTGAAAATAATACGTTATTGTTAACATCCTACATTGGTATAGAACACTGCAGATTATTGCTCCTATCTCATTATAATTTTGCTTCCTTTAACAAAACTCTTTCTATCTCTTTCTTTCCCACACCCTTCAAAGCCTCTAGTATTCTCTGTTCTACTTTTTACTTCTGTGAAATCTTGTTTTTTTTAGCTTCCACATATGAGTGAGAACATGTGGTGTTTAACTTTCTGTTTCTGCCTTATGTCACCCAACATAACGTCCTCTAGTTCCACTCATTTTGCCACAAATGACAGGGTTTCAGTCTCTCTTATGGCTGAATATCTCTCCATTGTGTATATATACCACAGGTCCTTTATTTATTCATCTTTTGCTGTACACCTATGTTGACTCCATATTTTGGTCATTGTGAACAAAAATGAGGGTGCAGACATCTTTTTGATGTAATGATGTCCTTTACTTTGGATGCATTTTCAGTAGTGGGATTGCTGAATCATGAGCTGGTTTTGCAGTGGCATGATCTGGGCTCAGTGCAACCTCCGCCTCCTGGGTTAGATCAATTCTCTTGCCTCAGCCTCCCAAGTTGTTGGGATTACAGGTGCCCACCACCATGCCAAGCTAATTTTTGTATTTTTAGTAGAGATGGGGTTTCTCCATGTTGCCCAGGCTGGTCCCAAACTCCTGACCTCAAGTGATTCACCTGCTTCAGCCTCCCAAAGTGCAGAAATTACAAGTGTGAGCCACTGCGCTTGACCTATTTGTAGTTTTCTGAGCAACCTACAAAATGCTCTCCTTAGCACTACGCCACTCCACATTCCCACCAATAGTGTATAACAGTTTCATTTTCTCTGCATCCTCAACAGAACTCGTTATTTTTTGTCTTTTTAATAATAGCCAACCTAACAGGAGTGAGATCATACCTCATTGTGCTCCTGACTTGCAACTTCCTGATGATTAGTGATGCTGAGAATCTTTTCATATATTTTCTAGCCTTTCATACATCTTCCCCTGGGAAACATCTGTTCAGATTATTTGTCCATTTTTTAATCAGACTGTTTTTTTGTTTGTTTTTTTTTTTTTTTTTTGCTGTTGAGACATTTGAGTTCCTTGTATATTATCTTTTGCAGAATTACATTTAGGTCATTGATCTATGTTTGAGTTTATTTGTGTACAGAGTGAGGAGAGAGTGTAGTTTCATTGTTCTGCATATAGATATCTAGTTTCCCTGGCACCATTTATTGAAGAGACTGTGCTTTCCCCAATGAGTGTTCTTGGCAACTTTGTCAAAAATCAATTGGCTATCAATATTTGGATCAATTTTTGGATCCTCTATTCTGTTTCATTGGTTATATGTCTGTTTTTATGACAGTCCCATGCTATTCTGGTTATTGTAGCTTTGTAGTATATTTTGATGTCTGTTAGTGTGATACCTCCAGCTTTGTTCAATTTGCTGAGGATTGTATTGGCTATGTGAGGTCTTTTGTGGTTCTATACAAATTTTAATAACTTTCTTTCTATTTCTGTGAAGAATGTTACTTGTATCTTGATAGAGATTGCATTTAATCTGTAGATTGCATTGGGTAGTATCTTCATTTTAAATACTAGTTCTGCCAATCTATAAGCACAGGATGTCTTTTTATTTGTTTGTGTCCTCTTCAATTTCTTGCATTATTAACATAATTTTTCTTATAATTTTTCTAACTTACTTGGTTAAATTTATTCCTGGAATTTTTTTTTTTTTAAATAGCTATCATGAATGAGACTGTTTTCTTGATATCTTTTTTGGCTTGTTCATTGTTCAAGGACTTTTCTTGATTGAACAAACTTATTTAAGCACTTAGATTTCTTCCTTATTTAATTTTTAATAAAAACATATGCTCTTGAAAGCATAGAGAACTTATCATACTAAAAAGGCAGTTTTAAAATTTCTAAAAATGTAATGCACAATTGATGCATATGAAATGTGGTAAAATGTCACCAACATGCAACTAAACTTTTTAAAATTATCAACGTTTTTGTCTTTAAAAAACATAAGAAGTTATTTATCTTAGCTAAAATGTACATACTCAGGGTTAGAAAGTGCACCTTTTTTTAATCCTATGTGTACCTTTTCTTTTTTTTTTAGAGTTTTTGTTTTTACTGTTTTAAGATGAAAACTTCTTATTATAAGGTCAATATTAATGTTAATTGTTGCATAAAAACCATTTTGTTCCATTTATCAATAAACCACAATACTACTTAGGTGTTAGTTGCAATGATACTTCATGAAGGAGTAAATACAGCTTTCCCTACAGCTCTGAAGCTCATATATTTCTATCAGTTTATAAATACTGATGTTAATACTCTCTCTCCCCCATTTCTAAGAGATTTCTCCATGAACCCAAAACTTATTTTTCTGTGTGAAAATTAGGTGGCTATACAGATTGGAAAAAAAATCAACCGAAACATAAAGAAAAGTTTTTGAACAATGTTTTTCATGCTCATAAAAAGTGTGGCCAAGTATCAGAATTAGTTTTTCCACTTGGCATAAATATTTGATATTCTTAATATTATGTGTGCTCACTTGTTGTTGGACTTTCATATTCTTTAACATTAAAAAATGGAGATCAGCTCTTTTCTGCAATTTAGTTATGCTATTCTGAAACAGAAAATGATTTTGATAAGACAATAATTTGGGAACTCTTTTAGCAATTAGTGGCAGTAAATAAAACTAATAATCATTGTTGTTCAGGAACTGAATTTGTTTACAATAATATTTTTTCAAACTCAGCCCAAAGAAGCCATTTCACTTTTGCCTAGTGACTTATTAATAAGATACATATTATTATACATACCAATGTTCAGATTGTCTTAAAATGCTTTCAAATAGAATGCAAATTTTTGCAACAACAAAAAATTACACAAACAAGCCTCTATGATTGTGTAAATAAAGTGTCTCTACAAGTGGGGCACAAATAAGCCTATTTAGCCACCATTCTGGAGGAGTTGCTTATTCCTTTATCTAATTTGCTTACCAAAATTTTAATTATGGCTCATCAAATGTGCTTGGTAAATCAAGTTCTGCTTATCATAAGGGTTACATTTAATCAGAACTATGGTCCGTCATAAAAGAGCCTGTATTTACCAAATTAATGCATAATATTCACAAGAAACCACCAATAATAAACAAATTAAAAAATACTGTTGAGGGATGGCTGGCAGTATGGCCGAATAGGATCAGCTCCTGCCTGCAGTTCCCAGCAAGATCAATGCAGAAGGCAAGTTATTACCTGGTTCATCTCACTGGGACTGGTTAGACAGTGGGTACAACCCACGAAGAGTGAGCAAAAGCAGTCTGGGGTATTGCCTCAGGCTGGGAAGTGCAAGGGTTCAAGGAACTCCCTCCCTTAGCCAAGGGAAACCATGAGGGACTGTGCCTTGAAGAAAGGTGCATTCCAGCCCAGACACTACACTTTTCCCATGGTCTTCACAACCTGCAGACAAGGAGATTCCCTCGGGTGCCTACACCACCAGGACCCTGGGTTTCAAGCACAAAACAGGGTGGCTGTTTGGGCAGACACCAAGCTAGCTGCAGGAGATTTTTTTAATACCCCAGTGTCACCTGGAATGCCAGCAAGGCAAGACAGTACGGTTCACTCCCCTGGAAAGGGGGCTGAAGCTAGAAAGCCAAGTGGTCTAGCTGAGCAAATCCCACCAATACAGAGCTCAGCAACCTAAGATCCACTAACTTGAAATTCTCGCTGCCAGCACAGCAGTCTGAAGTTGACCTGGGATGCTAGAGCTTGGTGGGTGGAGGGGCATCCACCATTACTGAGGACTTGAGTAGGTGATTTTCCCCTCACAATGTAACCAAAGCCGCCAAGCAGGTCAAACTGAGTGGAGCCCGCTGCAGTTCAGCAAAGCTGCTGTAGCCAGACTGCCTCTCTAGATTCCACCTCTCTGGGCAGGGCACTTCTGAAAGAAAGGCAGCAGCCCCACTCAGGGGCTTATAGATAAAACTAGAGCTTGGTGGAGGGAAGGGCAGCCACCATTACTAAGGCTTGAATAGGTGGTTTTCCCCTCACAGTGTAAGCAAAGCCTCCAAGCAGTTCAAATGGGGCAGACCCAATTGCAGCTCCACAAAGCTGCTGTAGTCACACTGCCTCTCTAGATTCCTCCTCTCTGGGCAGGGTATCTCTGAAAGAAAGGCAGCAGCCCCAGTCAGGGCCTTATAGATGAAACTCACATCTCCCTGAGACAGAGCATCTGGAGGAAGTGGTGGCTGTGGGTGCAGCTTCAGCAGACTTAAACTTTCCTGCCTGCTGGCTCCGAGGAGAGCAGCAGATCTCCCAGCACAGTAAGTGAGCTCTGTTAAGGGACAGACTGCCTCCTACAGTGGGTCCCTGACCGCCATGCCTCCTGACTGGGAGACACCACCCAGCAGGGGTCAACAGACACCTCATACAAGAGAGTGCTAGCTGGCATCTGGCAGGTGGCCCTCTGGGATGAAGCTTCCAGAGGAAGGAAGAGGCAGCAATCTTTGCTGTTCTGCAGCTGCCACTGGTGATACCCAGGCAAACAGGGTCTGGAGTGGAACTCCAGCAAACTCCAGCAGACCTGCAGCAGAGAGGCCTAACTATTAGAAGGAAAACTAACAAACAGAAAAGAATAGCATCAACATCAACAAAAAGGGCATCCACACAAAAACCCCATTTGAAAGTTACCAACATCAAAAACCAAAGGTAGATAAATCCACAAAGATGAGGAAAAACCAGCACAAAAAGGCTGAAAATTCAAAAAAACAGAATGTCTCTTCTTCTTCAAAGAATCACAATTGCTTGCCAGCAAGGGAACAAAACTGGACAAAGAATGAGTCTGATGAATTGACAAAAGTAGGCTTCAGGAGGTGGGTAATAACAAACTCCTGCAAGCTAAAGGAGCATGTTCTAACCCAATGCAAGGAAGCTAAGAACCTGGAAAAAAATGAGGGGAACTGCTAACTAGAATAACCAGTTTGATGAAGCTGAAAAACACAGTATGAGAACTTCGTGAAGCATACACAAGTATCAATAGCCAAATCGATCAAGTGGAAGAAAGGATATCAGAAATTAAAGATCAACTTAATGAAATATAGCCTGAAGACAAGATTAGAGAAAAAAAAATGAAAAGGAATGAAAATAGCTTCCGAGAAATATGGGACTATGTGCAAAGACCAAACCTATGTTTGATTGGTGTACCTGAAAGTGACAGGGAGAATGGAAGCAAGTTGGAAAACACTCTTCAGGATATTATCCAGGAGAACTTCCCCAACCTACCAAGACAGGCCAACATTCAAATTCAGGAAATACAGAGAACACCACAAAGGTAATCCTCGAGAAGAGCAACAGAAAGACATATAATCATCAGATTTACCAAGGTTGAAATGAAGGAAAAAATGTTATGGGAAGCCAGAAGGAAGGTCAGGTTACCCACAAAGGGAAGATCATCAGACTAACAGCAGGTCTCTCTGCAGAAACCCTACAAGACAGAAGAGAGTGAGGGCCAATATTCAACATTCTTAAAGAAAGAATTTTCAACCCAGAATCTCATATCCAGCCAAACTAAGCTTCATAAATGAAGGAGAAATAAAATCCTTTTCAGACAAGTGAATGCTGAGAGATTTTGTCACCACCAGGCCTGCCTTACAAGAGCTCCTGAAGGAAGAACTAAATATAGACAGAAAAAAACTGGTACTAGCCACTGCAAAAACACACCAAATTGTAAAGACCATTGACAGTATGAAGAAACAATCTCAACTAATGGGCAAAATAACGAGCTAGCATCATAATGACAGGGTCAAATGCACACATAACGATATTAACTTTAAATGTAAACAGGCTAACTGCCCCAATTAAAAGACACAGACTGGCAAATTGGATAGCGTCAAGACCCATTGGTGTGTTGTATTCGGGAGACCCATCTCACATGCAAAGGCACACATAGGCTCAAAATAAAGGGATAGAAGAATACTTACCATGCAAATGGAAAGGAAAAAAAAAAAAAAAGGAGGGATTGCAATTCTAGTCTCTGATAAAACAGGCTTCCAACCAACAGAGATCAAAAACGACAAAGAAGGGCATTACATAATGGTAAAGGGATCAATGCAACAAGAAGAGCTAAATATCCTAAATATATATGCACTCAATACAGGAGCCCCCAGATTCATAAAGCAAGTTCTTAGAGACCTACAAAGAGACTTAGACTCCCTAACAATAATAGTGGGAGACTGTAACACTCCACTATCAATATTAGACAGATCAAGGAGCCGGAAAATTAACAAGGATATTCAGGACTTGAACTCAGCTCTGGACCAAGTGGACCTAATAGACATCTACAGAACTCTTTACCCCAAATCAACAGAATATACATTCTTCTCAGCACCCGACCGCACTTATTATAAAATTGACCACATAATTGGAAGTAAAACACTCCTTAGCAAATGCAAAAGAATGGAAATCATAACAGTCTCTCAGACCACAGTTTAATCAAATTAGAACTCAGGATTAAGAAACTCACTCAAAACTGCACAACTACATGGAAACTGAATAATCTGCTCCTGAATTACTACTGGGTACATTAGGAAATTAAGGCAGAAATAAATAATTTCTTTGAAAACAATGAGAACGGAGACACAACATATCAGAATATCTGTGACACTGGTAATGCAGTGTTTACAAGGAAATTTATAGCACTAATTGCCCACAGGAGAAAGCGGGAAAGATCTAAAATCAACACCATAACATCACAATGAACAGAAGTGGAGAAGCAAGAGCAAACAAATTCAAAAGCTAGCAGAAGACAAGAAATAACTAAGATGAGAGCAGAGCTGAAGGAGATAGAGTCATGACAAATTCTTCAAAAAATTAATGAATCCAGGTTTTTGAAAAGATTAACAAAATAGATAGACCATTAGAAAGACTAATAAAGAAGAAAAGAGAGAAGAATCAAATTAATACATTAAAAAATGATAAACGGGATATCACCACTGATCCCACAGAAATACCAACTACCATCAGAGAACACTATAAACACCTCTCTGCAAATAAACTAGAAAATCTAGGAGAAATGGATGAATTCCTGGACACATACACCCTCCCAAGACTAAACCAGGAAGAAGTCAAATCACTGAATAGACCAATAACAAGTTCTGAAAGTGAGACAGTAATTAATAGCCTACCAACGAAGAAAAGCCCAGGACCAGGCAGATTCACAGACGAATTCTACCAGACGTATAAAGAGGAGCTGGAACATTACTTCTGAAACTATTCCAAAAAGTAGGAAAAAGGGATTCCTCCCTAACTCATTTTATGAGGCCAGCATCATCCTGATACCAAAACCTGGTAAAGACACAACAACAACAACAAAAATTTCAGGCCAATATCCCTGATGTATTTTGATGCGAAGATCCTCAATAAAATACTGGCAAACCAAATCCAGCAGCACATCAAAAAGCTTATCCATCCACAATCAAGCCTACTTCATCCCTGGGTTGCCAGGCTGGTTCAACATACACAGATCAATAAACGTAATCCATCATATAAACAGAACCAATGACAAAAACCACATGATTATCTCAATAGATGCAGAAAATGCCTTTGACAAAATTCAACATTCCTTAATGCTAAAAACTCTCAATAAACTAGGTATTGATGGAAAGTATCTCAAAATAATAAGAGCTATTTATGACAAACCCACAGCCAATATTATACTGAATGGGCAAAAATTGGAAGCATTTCCTTTGAAAACCGGCAAAAGACAAGGATGCCCTCTCTCACCACTACTATTCAACATAGTATTGGAAGTTCTGGCCAGGGTAATCAGGCAAAAGAAAGAAATAAAGGCATTCAAATAGGAAGAGAGGAAGTCAAATTGTCTCTGTTTGCAGATGACATGATAGTATATTTAGAAAAACCCCATCATCTCAACCCAAAATCTCTTTAAGCTGATAAGCAACTTCAGCAAAGTCTCAGGATACAAAATCAATGTGCAAATATCACAAACATTCCTATACACCAATAGTAGGCAACCAGAGAGCCAAATCATGAGTGAACTACTATTCACAATTGCTACAAAGAGAATAAAATATCTAGGAATACAACTTCCAAAGGATGTGAAGGAACTCTTCAAGGAGAACTACAAACTGCTGCTCAGGGAAATAAGAGAGGACACAAACAAATGGAAAAACATTCCATGCTCATGGATAGGAAGAATCAATATCGTGAAAATGGCCATACTGCCCAAAGTAATTTATAAATTCTTTGCTATCCCCATCAAGATACCATTGGCTTTCTTCATAGAATTAGATAAAAACTACTTTAAATTTCATATGGAAGCAAAAAAAGAGCCCATATAGCCAAGACAATCCTAAGCCAAAAGAACAAAACTGGAGGCATCACACTACCTGACTTCAAACTATACTATAAGGCTACCATAACCAAAACAGCATGGTACTGCTACCAAAACAGATGTGTAGAGCAATGGAACAGAACAGAGTCCTCAGCAATAATGCCACACATCTACAACCATCTGACAAACCTGACAAAAACAAGCAATAGAGAAAGGATTCCCTATGTAATAAATGGTGTTAGGAAAACTGGCTAGCCATATACAGAAAACTAATACTGGACCCCTTCCTTACACCTTATACAAAAATTTACTCAAGATGGATTAAAGACTTAAATGTAAGACCTAAAACCATAAAAACCTTAGAAGAAAACCTAGGCAATACCATTCAGGACATAGGCATGGGCAAAGACTTCATGACTAAAACACCAAAAGCAATGGTAACAAATGCCAAAATTGACAAACGGGATCTAATTAAACTAAAGAGCTTCTGTGCAGCAAAAGAAACTGTCATCAGAGTGAACAGGCAACCTAGAGAATGTGAGAAAATTTTTGCAATCTCTCCATCTGACAAAGGACTAATACCCAGAATCTACAAGGAAGTTAAACAAATTTACAAGAAAAAAACAAACAACCCCATCAAAAGGTGGGCAAAGTATATGAACAGACATTTCTCAAAAGAAGACGTTTATGCAGCCAAGAAACATATGAAAAAAAGCTCATCATCACTGGTCATTAGAGAAATGCAAATCAAAACCACAATGAGATACCATGGAACTGCTAATCTTTATCAATGTTTCTAGCGTATAATCCAAAACTATCATTATTAATTTTGTTTCTCAAATTTTTTCAGATTTGGTCATTGGAGCTGCTCTTTCATGTTGGCTCCTGTGTCTTTTTAGCATGAGTCCTTTCTCCCTTCCTCCCTCCCTCCCTCCCTCCCTTCCTTTCTTCCTTCCTTCTTCCTTCCCTCTTTCTTTCCTTTCTAAGCCGCCTTTGTGTACTGAGCCAGAAAGAATATGTATGAGTGCATGTATGCTAACCCATACATAAATACATACATCTATAGTTATTTCTGTATTTATATATTCATGTCTATGTTAACTTAAACACTGATATTTCTCAGCTAGTTATACCCCACGGGGTTTATTCTTCCCTTCCTGGTTTATTGTATCTAGTCAAAACACTGGTTGCCAAAGTTACTTAGGTTTGTTATTTTTCTCTTCAACCCCTTCAGTGAAGTTATGTTATACATTTATAATACAGTTGGGTTCATTTTTCTTGTCTGCAATCCATCCTGGGATTTCCTGACATCCTGCTTTTGTTTTTATTCTTTTCCAATTTCCATAAAGTTCATCTTTTGTATTGTACAGTTCTATGGGTTTTGAAAAATGCTTAGTCCTGTATCCACCACCGTAGTGCCATGCAAAACAGCTCCATCTTCCTAACATTTTCCTGCGTGGCCTGTTTGTAGTCAAGCAATCTTCCTTCTCACAATCCTTGGTAACTGCAGATCTGTTTATCATTCCTGTAGTTTTGCCTTTACCCAAATGCCTTTCAAATTGGATAATACAACACTTACCAAAATGTATATCAGATTTAGCCATACTGTTGTGTGAATCAACCGTTCCTTTTTCATGCTGAGTATTATTACATTCTATGGATATACTACAGGTTGTTTATCCATTCACCTGTTGAAGCGTGTCTTGGTTCTTCCTTTTGTGATTATAAAAAAAGTGCTATAAATATGTGTTTGCATGCCTTTAGTAAATAGAAGTTTCCAATTCTTTTTGTTAAATATCTAAGAGTGGAATTACTGGATGATATGATAAATGTATATTTACATATGTAAAAAGTTGCTAAACCATTTTCAGAAGTGGCTGAACAATTTTGCATACCATCTAGCAACTAAAGTTGCTGTTAACATGCATAATTTCCAGAATTTTATCTTGTCAGGTGTGTGTATGTTTGTCTTGTTGCCATTCTAATCCTTGTGTAGTACCTTGTGGTTTTAATTTGCATTTCGCTAATAACTAATGATGTTGAGCATTTTTTCATATGCTTTCACATACCTATTTTGGTGAAGTGTCTTTTTAGACTTTTAAAAAATTTATTAAATTTATTAAAATTTATTAATTTTGTCGCTTTTTTCCTTATTGTTGACTTTTTAGAGTTATTTATATATTGTGCATGTAAGATTTTATTGGATATGTTATTTGATTTGCAAATACTTTCTCTTAGTGTGTGTGTTACCTCTTCATTCTCCTTACAGTGTCTTTTACAGAGCAAAGTATTCTAATCTTGACAAAGCCTAATTTAACATTTTTAAAGTAGATCATGCTTTGCATTTTATCTTTAAATCTTATTGTTAAACTAAAGATTTTGTATATTGCCTCATGTTTGCTTTTAAATGTTTTATAGTTTTGTTATACATTTTGGTAAATTACATATTTCAGTTAATTTTTGGATAATGTATCAGGTATATGCTGTGGTTTATTATTTTGCATAGGGATTTACAACTGATACAGCAATATTTATTGAAAAAAATTCTTTATTAAATTATTGAATTTTTGTAAAAAGAAGCAATAAATGATATTCATATAAGCCTATTTCTCAACTGTCTATTCTATTCTGTTGATGTGTATGTTTATCTTTTTTCCAATACCACACTGTCTTAATTATTATAATTTTATAATAAGTCCTGAAATTGGATAGTGGGAGCCCTTTAGCTTTTTTCTTCTTTTTCTGAGTTGATTTAGCTATTGTAGTTCCTTTGTTTTGCCATATATATTTTAGAATCAGCTTCTGATATCTGAATAAAAGCTTGCTGAGATTATGATAGAAATATCGTTAAGTGCATATAGCAAATGAGAAAAAAGGACATCTTAACAATATTGCATCTTCTAATTCATGAACATGAAAAATATCTTTTTCATCTCTATTGATTTAGATATTTGACTTCTTTCACTAGTGTTTTGTAAGTTTCAGTGCAGACATTCTTCACATGTTATGTTAAATTTATACCCAAGTACTTAATTATATTTAGTACTACTGTAACTGATGTCATTTAAAAACTTCAAATTCCAAGTATTAATTGCTGTAATATAATAATATGATTGATTTCTGTATATTTTCCTTGTATTACGAGACCTTGCTAAGTTCACTTATGAGATCTAAGAACTTTTTGTACATTTTGTATGTTGATGGACATGTCCTCTGAAAATAGAAGCAGTTTTGTTTCTTAGTATACACTCTGTATGTCAATTCTTCATTTTGTCTTATTTTGCAGGCGAAGATCCCCAATGTGATACTAATAGGCGTAGTGAAAGCAGATATTTGTCTTGACCCTGATGTTACAATAGCATTCATTCTTTCACCATTATGTATAGATGTTAGCTGTAGATACGTTAAATGTTATTTAATAGGCTGTTTCCTTCTCACTGCATTTAACTTTAAGTGAAAGATTATCTGTCTAAACTTTCATCTTCTGTCCAATTTAAGTGACAATAAAAGTTCTAATCATATTTTAAATTTGGAAGTAGCTATTTCTAGTTATGTTATTAAAACTTTCCATAAACCTGTTGCTCTGCATCCGAACCAGAATTTGATCTTGTCAGGTATCTGTGTGGTTTGTTTTGTTGCTACTCTTATACTTGTGTAGTGCATTGTGGTTTAATTTGTATTTCCCTAATAACCAATGGTGTCGAGCATTTTTATATGTTTCCATATATCTCTATTTATTAAGTAGAACAATATAATCTACTTAATAAAAAAAATCTGATAAAACTTTAAGTAAGAAAAACAACTCTTTATATGCAGTTCCTGTTTAGGAAGTTATAATTTAAGGGTAAGGCCTTAAATATACCATCCCCTACAATTTATTCAGAACTTTTAGTTTGAGTACACATTGCTTCCTACACATTTTATTTATGTATTTATTTCTCTTTCCAATGTGTAGTTTTCTGTTTTTTAAATATAACTGGTTAAAATTGTCAAGTATTGATATTTGATCAGAGAATCTAGAAGTAGAGATGAAAAAGACCTATTGAGTCTCATTCCACTGTGAAAATGCATTGACCACCCAACTGTATTTCATCAATATAAAGCTATAGTTGGGTCTATTATTCCCTGCAGAAAGAATGCCAGAGGGGCTTTTCTTATTTGGAAAAATATTTTTTTCACACGTATTACTATTTCATCCTATCATGCTTTTGCATTTGGGAGGTAAATTGAAAAGAAAGATAAATTCTTTAGCAAATGTTTCTTCTCAGGATAATTTCTTTAAATATCTTTTACCATAAAGAAGTCATTAAGACTATCACAGAAAGTTTCAACTTCTCTATTACATGAATTTATTATTACTTAGGGGTTTAGAAAAATCTCAAACAGAACAATCTCTGCAAGCAGAGATTAGTTTTGTGAGAAACTAATGAATAGTTATGCATGAAGCAATAAATGGAAGTAAGCGTAGGTCAGAGATGTTTGTGAGAGAAATGACATCTAGAATGAGCTGAAGTAGAAAGAACCTTTTAGTTATCTCAAGGTGAGTTGATCTTTATGAAATGTTTGCTATTTGAAGCTTTATTTGAAGATACCATTCTCCAATTCACAGGAAGGAATAACTTTAGGATTAGGCTGAGTAAGTGGCTGAGTTATAAGACCAAGTGTACCAATGGCAAGTAAATTAATCTGCAGTTCTAGAATGTGGTCAGATCAATTTACAATATCTATGTACATAGATTGACAGACTACAGATGCATCCCCTGGTGGAAACCTCTCACATGAATCCAGGCAAACAACAGGAAGCAGATACATGCATCGTGTAGTCAGTTTACCACAGGACTACTGACTAGAACTTGATCAAGACCATTTCTTTCTGCTTGCCTGTGACTTCATAATAGTCAACATAGCTTAATGAATTAGTTATAATACTTAAATACACAAAGTGGAATGGCAAGTTTAATTATTTTTTTATTATCCATAGTATTTGAAAGCAGTCAAGATCCTTTATGTGTTACTACTCTATAAGTTAGCAATGACATTAATGAAATTTATATAGCCAATTAGGGAGATATAGCCAGTTATATGAAAGCATATCCTCACTGTTCTGTATGTAACAAGGCTGTGATGTGAATAAAGATACTTTCACAATGCCTGAAATGCCTCCCAGCTCTCTTCTTTTTCATTCTTTATACCACAACCTTTACCCCAGTTAAAAACTCAATGTTAAATATGTATTATATGTATATATATTTATACATAATGTTCTCATTTGGTAAAAACATTATATATTCTTTTTTTTAACTAGCACAAAACCACCATGTATAATCTTGAAATCCTACTTGTTAAACCTATATTTAATTTTATAACTTTTTTTCTGTAGAAAAAAAGGCATTTTTTTGAAACATAAGACATATGATGGTAGACAGTAAATTGCTTTAGCCTAGAAAACAAAACTAAAATGGTAACTTTCTAAAGGAGTTTTTAGAACTGTATGAAATTTGGTTTCATACAGGAAACTTTCATTGAATCAAAAGATGAGAAATATCTTCCATGGGAGATATAATCAGTGTACTGACAGCTTTGATATGTAGCAGCTAAATTATTAGTTCCTCAGATGAACCAAATGTGTAAGCATTACTACCTTTGTAATACAATGGTAAAAGTTCAGTTTATGGTCATTAGAGAAATGCAAATCAAAACTACACTTAGATACCATCTCACGCCAGTTAGAATGGCGATCATTAAAAAGTCAGGAAACAACAGATGCTGGAGAGGCTGCAGAGAAATAAGAGTGGTTTTACACTGTTGGTTAGAAAGTAAATTAGCTCAACAACTGTGCCAGACAATATGGCGATTCCTCAAGGATCTAGAACCAGAAATACCTTTTGACCCAGCAATCCCATTACTGGGTATAATACCCAAAGGGATATAAATCATTCTATTATAAAGATACATGCACACATACATTTATTGTAGCAATATTCACAATAGCAAAGACTTGGAACCAACCCAAATCACCATCAATGATAGACTGGATAAAAAAATGTGGTACATATACACCATGGAATACTATGCAGCCATAAAAAGGAATGAGATCATGTCCTTTGCAGGCACATGGATGAAGCTGGAAGCCATCATCCTCAGCAAACTAACACAGGAACAGAAAAATAAACCATAGGTTCTCACTCATAAGTGGGAGTTGAACAATGAGAACACATGGACACAGGGAAGGGAACAACACACACTGGGGCCTGTCGGAGGGGGGTGTGGCAGAGGGTAAAGCATCAAATCAAATAGCTCATGCATGTGGTGTTTAATACCTAGGTGATGGGTTGGTAGGTGCAGCAAACCACCATGGCACAGGTTTACCTATGTAACAAACCTGCACATTCTGCACATGTACCCCAGAACCTAAAATAAAATAAATTTAAAAAAAAAGAAAAAAAATACTGTTATGTTTTGGTGTTAATATAATTCCTTTCATAGTAGATAATTAATTAAAAATTATAAGCCTGGGTGATTAGGTGAATTGTTCTTGATTCTGACCCTCTTCAGAAGTGATGGGGATTTTTTTGTCAGTTTTATTCTTGTTGACACTCTCATCTCAGGTCCACGCTGATTTATAAAATCAATCATTTCTTCATTTTAGGGCTAATATAAAAATACAAGGAAGTATTTCTCATATGTAATATACATATACCATATACAGTGTATATATACTCTGTATGTTATATATACTTTTAATGAATTTATCTGTTGAGTTATTCTAATTTTAGAGAGAAAATTGATCACTAAATTAAAAAGTCTACAAAATAAATTATGGTTATAGTTGAGATATGCCCCATTGGATATCTTGAAGCTCCTCCCTAGCCCATTACTTTAGGTAGATAATAATTTATCTCCTTTCCCGTGATTTGGATGATTCTGGGGAAAAAAACAGTTGAGATACATTTTCTAAACTCAAATTGCAAATTGTGAGAAATCTATTGTCTTAATAAATAACATTTGAAAAATAAAGGTTTTTTTTGTTATTAGTTAAATTGATTTAAGATGGTACTGAGAGGTGATAACGTGCTAGCAGCCCTCACTCACTCTCAGCACCTCCTCGGCCTCGGCGTCTGCTCTAGCCATGTTTGAGGAGTCCTTCAGCCCACCGCTGCGCTGTGGTAGCCCCTCTCTGGGCTGGTCAAGGCTGGAGCCAGCTCCCTCTGCTTGTGGGGAGGTGCGGAGGGAGAGGTGCGGGCAGGAACCCGGGCTGCGCGTGGTGCTCATGGGCCAGCGCAAGTCCCGGGTGGGCGCAGACTCAGCGAGCCCCATACTCAGAGCGACCCCGGGCATTGAGGGGCTTAGCACCCGGGCCAGCAGCTGCGGAGGGGGCGCTGGGTCCCCCAGCACTGCTGGCCCACCCGCACCACGCTCTAATGCTCGTGGGGCCTCTGCCACCTTCCCGCAGGGCAGGGCTTGGGACCTGGCAGCCCGCCATGCCCGAGCCCCCCTGCGGTGGGTTCCCGCACGGCCCAAGCCTCCCCCACAGGTGCTGCCCCCTGCTCCATGGTGCCCAGTCCCATCAACCTCCCAAGGGCTGAGGAGTGCGGGCGCACGGTGCGGGACTGGCCGGCAGCTCTGCCCACGTCCCCTGTGTGAGATCCATTAGGTAAAGCCAGCTGGGCTCCTGAATCAGGTGGGGACTTGGAGAACTTTTAAGTCTAGCTAAAGGTTTGTAAATGCACCAATCAGCACTTTGTGTCTAACTCAAGGTTTGTAAATGCACCAATCAGCACTTTGTGTCTAGCTCAAGATTTGTAAATGCACAAATCAGCACTGTGTCTAGCTACAGGTTTCTAAACGCACCAATCAGTGCTCTGTGACTAGCTAATCTAGTGGGGACTTGGAAAACTTTTATGTCTAGCTAGAGGGTTGTAAATGCACCAATCAGCACTCTGTGTAGCTCAGGGATTGTAAACACAACAATCAGCACCCTATCAAAATGGACCAATCAGCTCTCCTCTGTAAAATGGACCAATCAGCTCTCTGTAAAATGGACCAATCAGTAGGATGTGGGTGGGGCCTGATAAGGAAATAAAAGCAGGCTGCGGGGGCAGCAGTGGCAACCCGCTGGGGTCCCCCTTCCACACTGTGGGAGCTTTGTTCTTTCCCTCTTTGCAATAAATCTTGCTGCTGCTCACTGCTTGGGTCTGCTCTGCCTTTATGAGCTGTAACACTGACTGCAAAGCTCTGCAGCTTCACTCCTGAGGGCAGCTTCACTCCTGAGGGCAGCTTCACTCCTGAGGACAACAAGACCATGAACCCACCAGGAGGAATGGACAACTCCAGATGCACTGCCTTAATAGCTGTAACACTCATCGTGAAGGTCTGCAGCTTCACTCCTGAGGCCAGCGAGACCACGAACCCACCAGAAGGAAGAAACTCTGGACACATCTGAATATCTGAAGGAAAAAACTCCCGACACACCATCTTTAAGAACTGTGACACTCACCGTGAGGGTCAGCGGCTTCATTCTTGAAGTCAGTGAGACCAGGAACCCACCAATTCCGGTCACAGTACTGTGTTTAAAACTTAGAAAAAACATTAAGAGCCAGAATAAAGACAAAGTTATCCACATATGTTGTGAAATGTTACACAAACAATATAGTCAATGGACAAAATCTGAAAACACTACTTATTTCTACTTATTGGTAACCTTTCATAACTCATAGCTCTGCTATCTTTAAGTTAGTAAATTATCTATAACTTGTAGTAATAATTAATATATCTGGAATTTACCCACTAGCATAAGTAATGTGTAATTTTTCATTTTAAAGTCTTCAACCAACAAATAACATTGATATAAGGCATTTTTGTATTGGAAGGTTACTCTATTTCTGAATGATGAATAACCAGATTAAAGCTTGGATAGACTAAACCCCATTGGAAATTATACTCAGTAAAATTTAGAAAAAATACTTGAAAAATAAATGAAAATATATAAAAATCAAACTTTTTAAAAATTATGAAAGCATAAATCTGCTGAATATAATTTCAACTTTTAAAAGTATAGAACCCACTTTTTCTCATGCCTTTTTTTTCTCTTCAAGTTACTACCTTTGGTCAATCATGAGCAATGTTCTTGAATATTGAAAACACATTTTAGAAATTATGTCTTTCTTGACCTTTTGAAGATATTTTCCCATTAAGAACAAATAAATAAACCTAGTGAGTAATTATTTATGTAATTTATAGGAAATAACATTTTTCTTCTTTTATGTTTATATTTTGATAAAACAGTTTGAATCAGCTTCTAAAGGTGTATTTTCACTCTTTTAGCAAGATTAATTACCATTTTATTCCATTCTCTTCTTTATACATGTTAGTTTTCTCCTTTTTTTCTTTTCCCCAATATAATATATTTACTTAGTCCATTAATTTTTCAATGGTCTGTTCATTGTTTTCTTTTTTATGTGATCTTCTCATTCCCTCAATACTAGCTGTACATTTTGAAAATATAAATGTTTGGTATATAATAAATATTATATGGGAAAACATAAAAGCAGTCTCCTTGAAAACAGTTTTTAAATATGTAATAAAGACCTAGGACAACCTTATATTCTCTCAATTATCATACTGACAGAAAAAATAGAATTTCATAAAACATATAATTTTTTCTTGGCAGAGTAAATCAGTAATATGAAGACATATTTTAATTTGTTTTTGAATCAAAAAGAAACCGAGTTAAAATTTTATCAACTTTTAAAAATCATTTCTGAAAGCAAGCATCAACTGAGACTAAAAAATCTACACAAGTAGATTGTTCACATTGCATTTTACTGTATAATCACAGTTCAATTTGTGGCTAATTTAACTGCGTTATGAACTTCATACATGAATAAGAGCCAAAAGCTGAAATAAATAGTTCCTTGATATGACTTCTCAACTTAACATGAGCCAGAAATGCAATGAACGATTTGAAATATGCTAGAATTATCAAAACCTGGTTAGTGTTACTTAATATGGGACCACATATTTTGGACAAGGTGATAATGATAATTTTAAAATACATGATTTTTAACGTTGCTTACAGTTATATGAGGTTTCTCAGGTTATTTAAAGTGAATATAAGTATGATCACCATTTCTATTCTTTTATTGTTTTCTTTGTTATTTTATGTGCGTATATTTTTATTATCGCAGTATTTTTCAATTACCAGAATATTTTAAAATAAATTACATTATAAATATTGAACAAGCAAATATACATTTACTCACCTAAGGCTTTTTTCTAAATTTGTGCTTGGAGTTTAAAAATAAACATGGGAGAAAAAATTCAAAATAGGAACGCAAGGAATGCAACATTGATTTTAAATGTTTTATACTCTCACAAAGTAGTTTGTGCAAGTGTCACAGACACTGAATAGCTAAAATGCATAATTGCAACCTCTTTGTGAAAAACAACTAAATTTTAAAGCCAGAACAAAGAGACAACCTGGAAAGCTGTAATCAGAATTGTAGGATGAAGGTTACGTTATTTAACCTACTTCTCTAGGCTCTATAGCATATTTTATTCATTCTATAACTTCACTAGTTGGGATAAGAGATTATCTCCAGAAAATATGCATAATTGTGGCTTAGTCAGAGACTATATGAAACAATATGCCTTAATGTCAATGCCACAATATTCTGATTTGGCAGTGCTTTTATGAGCTATCTTACAGGTACAAAGAAGATATATCTTCATACAGTTAGTAAATTGCTACTTCTTATGAACTTTTGCATGTTTTTCTTAAATAAATTGGTTTGCCTCTTGATTAAAATGAAATATCAAAGTCTGTTCAGATTATAAGCTTACTTTATTATAATAGGTTTTTAATTTCTAATTTTCTTGCTTCTACAGAGAGAACTTTGTATTTATTGTTACCCTATGAATTGTGAAAAACACACACACACATTTTTTAAAAATTAATGGATGCATGTTTCTTGATTAACAAGAGCACTTGATTCAGGTATACATAATACACAGTTACGTTTATTTTATTATTTTTTCAAGTCATTTTTGTTATTTTTACTTTTATCTTGGATTTGTATGTGTGTATGTGTTTGTGCATTTTCAAACAGACAGCATTTTCAATAGTCATTTGTATTGAAAAATCATTCACATATATTTTCTGTGTATATTTTGGTTTGATTCATAGAGTTAAGTGTTCTACAAAAGTGCCTTAGCTCTTTAACAGGTACTCATTTAAGTGAACACCACTGTATAATTTGTTAGTCTCCTGTGATGATTCAAGATGTTCCTCACATTCTGGTTTGAAAAGGAATAATTTGCATATATTTTTAGAGTTGAACATGCTGAGATGTAGAGAATAAGATGTTGTCTACTAAGACATTCATTACATATACTAGTTTTAAGAATCATTTTTAAGTTCAAAATTTAACATAGTGCAAGATAATAACTATGTTGAGAGCTACTACTGCAGTTCAGATGCTTTTACTTTAATATCTTTTATGCAATTTGCAAAGACACTTTTTTGAAAACAAAGCCTGCTACTGGATTTACCAAAGAAGAAATTTATTATTTAAAAGCGACTATATCTCACATTAGTAGATCAAAAGATTTCACATATTTTCACTATCTTTTATGGAATAGAATTTTGAATGTTTTACCTTAAGACTTTTTCTAATCAATTTTCAGTAACTTGAAAAACATCTAAAACAATTCCAAGAAAGGAAATGTCACCTTTACTAACACTTTTCTCCAAATGCATTTCTTCCAAAGTCATTTCTAATTAATATATATATTTCTAATTATACATTTAATGTATGCTCATTTTAGAAAAGTAGAAAATAAAAACATAAAGAATACAATCCAACAACAGAGAAATTGGCACATATAATAATTTTGCGTATATTTCCCATTATATTTCCATTAAAATATGTTGAAATAATTAGAACTATGCTCCACGTGCAGTTTGTTTTTTGAAAACTTGCATAAACAAGATCATTGTCTGGGACTTTGTCCCTGGTTCCTGAGAGGTAACTTCTAAACCCCTGGAGTTTTTCAAATGACAGAAGGTTTTTGTTATTCATTGTGGGATCTGGAACCAACCTAAGTTTATGCTAATGAGGTGCATCGTGTCAGAACACTAAATAGTTTATGGTAATAAAATGACCAGCAGAATGGGGGCTGGTCATAAAAGAAAAAGCAAAACACCATCAGAGAGTTGGGGCTTTGGGCTACTTGATATCTTTGTCTAACCTCCAGAGAATGGAATGAGGCTGAAGATTGAGCTCAAATAACCAATTATTTGGTCAGTCATACCTATATAATGAAGCCCTCCAAAAATATGGAAACTAAAGCTCAGGTGAGTTTTCTTGGCTGGCAATGCACTGTGGAAACCAAAATTAAAATTCTAAGGCCCCAAGCCATCTGAATGGACTTCCTCCTCAGACAGGGCTCTTAAAATTTAACTTGAAAGACTGGTTCAGGCCATGATCGAAAATAGGGGTCAGACATCCTTATTATACCTCTCTGGCATTAATATCAACACAGATTTTAAGTCTGATAAAAAACATTTTACAATCTATTCTCTCTAAAGCCTGCTACCTAGAGGCTTCATCTGCATGATAAAACTTTCACCTCCACAACCTTATTGCAACCCAGACATTCCTTTCTATTGATCTCAGGTATTTGGATAAACTCAACCAATTGTCAATCAGAAAAATTTTAGATTTCCCTATAAGCTGGAAGACGCCCCACTTCAAGTCCACTTTTCTGGACCAAACACATGTATTTCATAAATGTATTTGATTGAAGTCTCATGCCTCCCTAAAATGTATAAAACTAAGCTGCATCCTGACCACCTTGGGCACATGTTCTCAGGACCTACTGAGGGCTGTGTCATGGGCCGTGGCCACTCATATTTGACTCAGGATAAATCTCTTCAAATATTTTACAGATTTTGACGCTTTTCATCGATAATAATTTGGCACCCAAACACGTGGGGCCTCAGAGAAGACTCAGGACTCCAAAGGAGTTGCCCAAACTCAGAGCTAAGTTATCAGCAGGGGCCCATTGAAGCCTCCACGACTTTGAGCTTCTCCTCTGGTGGAACTGCTAAGTCCTCCTGAGCCCAGAACCTCCCTTTGATGAAAGGTCCTTGATTTATTCTGAGCTTTTATTTTTGCTCTTCTAGGAAGTTGTTGTTTAAGGATCCTAATTGTAGTTCAGAGGTGCATTTTAAAGGGTCTTCTCCATTGCTTTTTCTCCCGAAATTAATCTTGATTTGGCTTGGCTGGGCGCATTTGCATGAGGAACTGTACTGTTGTTTTCATAAGTAAATGAGACTGAGTTTACTCAGCTTGGAAAAGAAAGGGCATTTTGTTCCTTCCAGCTGAAAGGCACCCTGGGTTACTGGGGGCCTCGTGGGATTGTCTGGGGTGTTGACCCTCCGTGATTTACAGCAGCCGTACAGGGAACCCCCAATGAAATTAGTTCAAAACAGGCTCGTCCTGCAAGTGTATACAGGAGCTGGTTGCTTCATACTTTGGGCCCTGCTGAAGGGGCTTAGACCTCTGGAGAGGGAAAGATACATGTAAGAGGGCAGCAATAACTCAGTGGTTAATTTTACAGGATATCTGGGGTGTCAATTTTTCTTACTGGAAACCTCTATGGCCGCAGCGCCTTTGCCTGAGTTTTTGTCCTACCTCCAGGAATAATGAGGTATGCAAGCAAGTGAAAGGTGAAGAAGAAGAGTTTTATTTGATGTTAGAACAGCTCAGAGGAGTGGGTAGCTCCTCTCTATAGACAGGTTGCCCAGTGAAACGTTCAGATCTTAGCAGAGAGGAGGCTCTAGAGAGGGTGACTCCTCTCTGCAGCAAGTCATTTTGACATTGCTGCAGGTCTCTGAAGCTCTCAACAGAGAAGGTAGCACCTCTTTCATGGCAGGTTGTCTCTGCAGCTCTCTGCAGCTGGTCATCCCATCATCTCCAGCCATCAGCAGAGAGGGTACTCCTTTCTGCAGCTGGTTGTCTGCCCGTCCTCTGCTCTCTTCATCCTCTGGCCATCCTCTGCCCTGCTCTGGCTGAGCCCAGGGCTTTTATAAACCTCAGAGGGAAGGAAGTGCATGCTGATTGGTCCATGGGCAGCCATGGGTGGGCCCAGAAGAGGCACCTGAGTCCCCACTCCAGTCCTCAGGACTGGTAGCCCAGCCCCCAGCCTTCATGCCCTCCCTAGCCTGAATGTGGGGCCTTACTGGGGACCAGGCCTCTTCTGCCCAGGAACCAGTTTGCTTCCTGCTGTCATTCATGGCCCCTGGGGCTCAGCCCAAAGCCTGCTCTGAAATTGGAGAAGGTGCCCGGAGAGGAGAGTGGTCAGGCAGGTGGAAGCAGACATCCCTGAGCCTGCAGGGATGAGGGGGTCCTTCCTGGGGCCTCTGAGGGCGCAGGCTGCAGAGATGCCTGGGTCCTGTGTCTAGGAGGGCGGCCGCAGCTGCACCTGGGAGCTCCCGCCCCACCAACTGAAAAGGGGTAGGGCTCCCTCCCTCTTGTCACCGGCTCCTGCCTTCTTCCTGGAACAGAACGCCTAGGTCTGCAGCCACAGGTGCATAGGCTGCAGCTGCACGGGGAAAGCAGATCTGGCCTGTTCCTGGCTCCGCCAAGAGCACTCAGAGGCTTGGATCCATAGCTGCAGTTTGGGTAGGTGCAGCCCCGCCCAGGAGGGTGGGGCTCCTGCTTGCTCTGTAAAGGAGGACTGGGTCTGCAGCAGCCCTTTGGGGTTTGGGCAGCTGCAGTAGCACAAGGAACTCCCTTCCCAACTCAGAAGGGGCAGGGCTTGAACTCACTCCGTAGAGTGTGTAGGCCTAGCTGGGTTTCCCTGCTGCAGCCGGCATGATGGCAGCAGCCAGTACCATCACTAACACACATTTCAACCCACTGCACAAAAGCCCTAGGCCATAGCTCAGTTCCTTGTAAAAAAAAAAAAAAAAAAAAAAAAAAAGTGGGAAACAGTCTAAGAATGGGGGGGGAAAAAAAAAGAATGACCCTCCTTTGGGTCACTCCATTGGTTTTATGACACCTCTACTTGCCAGAGTTCATATAAAATGGAAGTATTATGGTCTTTGTGCACATTTACGTTGAGGAAAAATACCCCTAAGGTAGATCTGCAAACTATAGAGTTCCTAAGTTCTGTTTTTCTCTATTTTTCTTTTCTGCCTGCTTTAAATCTGCTCTTTTTCTACTGCAATAAAAACCATTGTTTGGATTTAACAGGTTTTTTTTGTTTGTTTGTTTGTTTTTTGCAAGTTGGTGAATTTGTATTTATCTCACGGTTCTGAAGTAAAAGCTATAGGATCTCTGTGATCTGCGTGTGTGTGTGTGTGTGTGTGTGTTTGTGTGTGTGCGTATATTTAAAATGCCTTTATAATTTCTATAATTATATGTTTAATTGACAATTAAATCCATTTTAATTTTTTTCTAGCACACCAGACTTTTTTTCTTTGTAAATTTTGGTATCTGATTTTTACCTAAGAGTTGTTTCCTTTAATATTCAGAGTTAAGGCTATTTAGCTGACAACTGCCTAAGGTGGTGAATCAGGTTATCAAGAATTTGAAAGCCTATGATAGGAGAAAAAAAAAAAGAAAAAAGAAAAGGGGTCTTATGAATCTATAAGATTCATCATGCCTAATATGTCTATGTGTTTATGTGCTGTGTAAATAATATTTCACTACTAAAAATATATAAAAGTGCTCTAATTAATTGGCTTAAAAATAAAAGAATCTAAATCAAATACTTAAAAGAAAAGCCTAACTAAATGCTTTTTCAAGTTCACATGACTTAAGTAAAATCTTTAATAAATAAGTTGGCCTTAAAGTTATAGGTAAAATATGTATTAGTCCGTTTTTATGTTGCTGATAAAGACATACTTGAGACTGGGAAGTAAAAGAGGTTTAATTGGACTTACAGTTCCACATGGCTGGAGAGGCCTCAGAGTCATGGCAGGAGGCAAAAGACATTTCTTACATGGTGGCAGCAAGAGAAAATGAGCTAGAAGCAAAAGTGAAAACTGCTGATAAGCCCATCAGATCTCGTGAGACTTATTCACTGTCACAAGAATAACACATGAAAGACCAGCCTCCATGATTCAATTATCTCCCCCTGGGTCCCTCCCACAACAAGTGGGAATTCTGGGAGATACAATTCAAGTTGAGATTTGAGTGGGGACACACCCAAAACATATCAAATAATATTAGAAATTTCTTAAGAATCGATAGCATTTTTATTTCCATTTGTTGATCAAGTGGTTTCATGCTTACTCCTGTAGAATACTATACGATTTGCCATAAGGGTTATATAAGTATAATACCCAGCCCAAGACACAATGATCTTTGCTTGCATAATTTTTGATAAATAAGACATGGAATGTTGTTGGTTTAATGAAAACAGCTAAATCTTGAGGTATTGGTAAAAAATACCCTTATATTTAACTTTAAGTTTCTGAAGTAAATACCTGAAATTCACAGGTGTAAAAACAGTTAACAAAGAAATAACTTTAAATATTGAGTATCACAGTTTTTGTAAGTAATCTAGGTAAATGATTAATATTGAATAAATTAATCAGTTAAATGTAATTTAATAAATGCTTGTAAACAAACGTCATAATTTAGGATCTCAAAGTTATTAATTGATATCAGGTATCTGAGTAATTTCCAATTTAAAAATTATAGAAAACCATTTTTTTAAAAAAGTTCTTATTAAAAGGCAAATATCTTTGTCTAATTAAAGGCTTATTTAAAGGTTATGTATAAAACAAGGTAAAAGTTACCATAAAATAAGAGATGTAAAGAAAGTTAAAGATATAAAGAAGTATTTTTGGTAAAGAAGATGTGAACCCTGAAAATCTGAGACAGGTCTCAGTTAATTTAGGAAGTTTATTTTGACAAGATTGAGAATGTGCACGCAGGACACAGCCTCAGGAGGTCCTGATGACATGTGCCAAGGTAGTCAGAACACAGTTTGGTTTTATAGATTCTAGGGAGATATGAGACATCAATCAACATATGCAAGATGAACACTGGTCCAGTCTGGAAAGGCGGGACAACTCAAAGTAAAAGCAGGATGACTCAAAGTGGAGAAGGGGCTTCCAGGTCACAGGTAGATAAGAGACAAATGGTTGTGTTCTTTTGAGTTTCTGATTAGCCTCTCCAAAGCAGGCAATCAGGTATGCATTTATCCCAGTGAGAAGAGGGGTGACTTTGAAAAGAATGGGAGGCAGGTTGGGTCTAAGCAGTTCCCAGCTTGACTTTTCCCTTAGCTTAGTGATTTGGGGACCCCAAGATTTTATTCCTTTCACAATTTCTTTCTTTTTAAAAATTTTTTGAAGAAAGCATTTTAGAAGAAAATGAGTCTCTGGTCTCAGGTTTCTTCTGATCTCACATGGCTAGGATGGTTTATTCCTAGACAGGTAGGTCATGAGTTATTAGGAAAGCTCGTTTTTATCAGGTTGTGAAGTCATGTCCTAGGAAGAGAACGTAGGGGAAGGAAGGAATAAAAACAACAAGCAAAAGAACAATACTGGAAAATCAATATAGGCCACAAAACTCTGAAGTGCATTCATCATTAGGCAGGTATGAAAGTGGCTTATGTACGTAAATAGGCTGCTGTTATTTTCTTCTAAAATTTAAGTTGTCTAGCTATAGTTTGTAGGGCTTAATGAAAGCACAGCTTAGTTTTCAATGGTTTCAAGTTAGGAAAAATTGGGGGAAAAGGAAAAGAAAGAAGAAAAAATGAAAATATTATTTTAAAGATTTGTTGTCAGGAAAAATTATAATTCAGCCCAAACTGTAGAAAATAATAAAAACTGAAAAATGTTAGACAAGACTAGGATCTAACAACAGGTGTATTGTAGTTTTTGAAACATAATTTTTCTCTCTCCTGTTTCCCATTTTTACTAAAGTCAAATTATGGTAGAATCAATTTGCTTTATTATACTTGGCCATATTATTTGTATAAAGTGCAGCAAGGATAATTATTTTTTATATAGGCTTATTTACATTGGCTTTGATGGAACTTGGTTCAATAGAAAAAATCTCATGAGACTTTTTTCTTTTTTTTATATTAAAAGCATTTATTTATTTTACTTTAATTCTTCTAAAAAATGGGATACATGTGCAGAACATGTAGGTTTGCCATTCAGTAATATTAAATACATTCACATAATTGTGCAACCAATCTGTTAAGCTTTTTCATCTTGCAAATCTGAAACTCTATACCCAGTAATTACAACTGCCCATTTTTCCCTTCTTGAGCCCCTGGCAACCACCATTTTACCTTATGTTTCTATAAATTTGACTAGTTCATATGCTTCATTTAAGTGGAGCTATATGGTATATGCATTTTTGTGACTTGTGTATTTTGCTTAGCATAACATCCTCAAGGTTCATCTATGTTGTGTAATGTGTCATTTTTTTTTAAGGCTAATATTTTCTTATATGGACATACCACATTTTGTTTAATCCTATATGCATATGACATTAAGATCGCTTCACGTTTTGTTCATTATAAATAACACTGCTATAAATGTGGGTGTACAAATATCTCTTTGAGATCCTACTTAAAATTCTTTTGGATATATACTCAGAAGTGGTATTGCTTGATCCTATGGTAATATTTGTAATTTTCTGAGGAATCACCATAATGTGTTTCACATTGGCTGTACAACTTTTCATTCCCACCAACAGTGCAGAGGTGATCTGATTTTTCCACATCCTCATCAATGTTTGTTACTTTTTGTTTTTCTTTTTCTCTTTTTTTTTGAGAGGGAGCTTCACTCTTGTTGCCCAGGCAATAAGATTGTGCAATGGCACAATCTTGGCTCACTGCAACCTCCACCTCCTGGGTTCAAGCGATTCTCCTGCCTCAGCCTCCCAAGTAGCTGGGATTACAGGCATGCACCACCACGCCCGGCTAATTTTTTGTATTTAGTAGAGATGGGGTTTCACCATGTTGGTCAGGCTGGTCTTGAACTCCTGACCTCAGGTGATCCACCTGCCTAGGCCTCCCAAAGTGCTGGGATTACAGGCATGAGCCATCGAGTCCAGCCACTTTTTATTTTCTTTAAAATAACTATTCTGATGGGTGTGAAGTAATATCTCATTGTGGTTTTGATTTGCATTTCCTTAGTGACTGGTGATATGATCATCTCTTTTCTTATGGTTGTTGGCTTTCTTTATTAATTTTTTATTCTATATACATTTTTCTCCTTTTTGAATTTGTTCCAAATGTATTTATTCTATGTACATTTTTCTCCTTTTTGAGTTTGTTCCACATGTATTTATTAATTATTGATTATCTCAGGATTTTGTAGGGTTTTGGGCACTTACATGACTCAAAGTAAGATATTATCTGGGTGGTACACTAAATTATTTTATGACTATACAAACCTGCTTCAAAATATATTTAACCTTATAGTTTTAAGGCCATGTTCTATACAGTGATTTCTAACATTCCCAGTATGAATATTCTTATTTTATTTTACTTATTATGAAAATATGTTTTAAAATATAAATATTGCTGTGGTTTGAATATGTATCCCAAAGTTTATGTGTTTGAAACTTAACCCCCAAATTTATATGTTGATCATGTATAGATGGACGTAGGGCCTTTTGGAGGTAATTAGGGTTAGATGGGGTCCTGAGTGTGGGATCCTCATGATGGGTTAGTGACTTTATTGGAAGAAAAGGAGAGACCTGAGCTGGCACACTCTTGCCCTCTGGTGATGTGATGCCCTCCACCATTTTACAATTCAGCAAGAAGGCACCTACCAGATGCCGGTGCCATGCTTGTAGATGTCCCAGGCTCCAGAACTGTGAGTTAAATGAAAGTATTTTATATATAAATTATCTAGTCTATGGAATAATGTTATGGCAACAGAAAATTACTAACAAGTGTATTTAGAGAATAAGGTACAAACCCAGGTATCCCATGAAAAAACAAATGTTAACTCTCTTAGTCTTTTTAGGCTGGTGGGTAGCTCATATATGACAGAAATTTGTTTCTTACAATTTTGGAGAGGGGGGTAATGTCCAAGATGAAGGCATCAGCAGATTTGGTGTCTAATGAGGGCCCACTTTCTCATAGGTGGCCACCTTTTCACTGTAAACTCACATACCAGAAGTGATGGGGAATCTCTCTTGGATCTCTTTTATAAGGGCACTAGTCTCATTCATGACAGTTTTACCCCCATACCTCCTACTACTATAAACTTGAGGGTTAGGATTTGAACATATGAATTTTGCGGAGAATACAAACATTCAAATCATAGCATTTTCCCCTGATGCCCCTGAATTTTTGTCTTTCTTACCTACAAAATACATTCATGACATCACCAAAGCCCCAAAAGTCTTCACTTCTTCCAGCGCCAACACAAAACTGTAAAGTACAAAGTCTCATCTGAATATCATCTAAATTGTTTGTGGGTGAAATTCAAGGTAAGTTTTATTCTGTGAAACATTGCTCTCCAACAGTGAAATTGTAAAGTCAAACATGTTATGTGCTTCCAAAATACAGTGGTTAAACAGACATAGGATAAGCATTCTTATTCCAAAATGGAGAAATATAAGAGAATAAAAACTAATAGTTTCCAAATAAGTATGAAATACAATAGGGCAAATAATTTTAAATTTTACAGCTTGAGAATAATCTTCTTTGGTTTAGTGCTTGCCCTCCAGGCCAACTGGAAATTGGAGATGGGCACACCTTCCAGACATACTGGGTCAGGGCCCAACCTTCTCTTCTGGACACACTGGAGTTGGGATCCTACCTTTTAGATACACTGGGATGTGTGGACCTGCCCCAATGCAAAGGGTGGCCCCACCACCATGTTAGATCTCTGTAGTCATCCCAATTCTGATGTGAATTTGTGTTTGAGTTGTATGCCCATGGATCCTCCAGGCTGGAATCATGGATGGGATTAATGTCTATAAAAGGCTTCGGAGAGCTGCCTCTTTCTTTCTGCCCTTTCACCATGTTAGGGCACCTAGTCAGCATCAACCCTGAGAAGAGGGCCCTAAACAGACAACTGACATGCTCATGCTTTGAACTTCAACTTCTCAGCCTCCAAAACTATGAGAAATAAATATTATTTATGGATTATGCAATCTGTGGTATTTTGTGACAGAAGCATGAAAGAACCGAGACACTAGGACTATGGTGTTTCCTAGTTTCTGCTTTTTCTTAAATTTGTGTCCAGCAACACATACTCATCACTGGGGGAAAATTTTTCATGTCTGCATTCTCCTTTATGATATTTTCTGTAAATTTCAGTCTTCTCTATTTTTCTTTGTACATTTTTTATTGTGGTAAAATGTACATAACTTAAAACTTACTATTTTAACTATTTTTAAGTGTATAGTTCAGTGGCATTGAGTGTATTCATCTTGTTGTTCATCCATCACTACATCCATCTCCAGAAATTTTTCTTCCTCTCAGGTTAAAACCCAATGTCCCTTAAACAGTAACTCACCATTTTCCCCTACTAACAACTGCTGGGAAGCATTGTTCTATTTTTCTTCTTTATAGATTTGACTACTCTAGTTACCTCTGAGGACTAAGCTCTGATTTTTTATCTTGCCCAAATTCCTTTCTAAGGGGTCTGGGGAGTCATGCCCTACAAACCATAAATTTTCATTAGATGGGTTTTATTTAACCCTGTATATTGTGACTTACTTTCCAAACTGACTCTGGCATAACAAGGGAACAATCTAAGCATTTTACCCCAAAATATATTTCCTTATACCTAGAAATTGCCCTTCAAAGTCTCTTGGAAAAATTCATGTTCTATAGAGAATATCTTTTCCCCTTTGTTTTCTCTCCTTTCTTTCCGATACAGGTGATAATCAACTAAAAGCCAGGAACCCTTTTAGGTTCAATAAGAAACATTTTACAACCTGCTCTCTCTCTCTCCGAAGTCTGCTATCTGAGAGATTCCTCTGCACAATAAAACTTGGTCTCCACAATCCTTTATCTTAACCTGAACATTCCTTTCCATTAATCCCAGGTCTTCAGATAAACTCAACCAATTGTCAGCCAGAAAATGTTTAAATTTACCAATAGCCTGGAAGCCCCTGCTTTGAGTTGTCCCACTTTTCTGAACCAAACCAATGTATTTCTTAGGTGTATTTGATGTCTCTTGCCTTCTTAAAATATATAAAACCAAGCTGTACCCCGACCACCTTGGGCACATGTTTTCAGGACCTCCTGAGGGCTGTGTCTTGGGCCATGGTCACTTATATTTGGCTCAGAATGAATCTCTTAAAATATTTTACTGAGTTAGACTCTTTTCATCGACACCTCATATAACTCTATTCTGTTGTTACTGGCTTATTTTACTAAGTCTTACACACTGTATTTAAGGTTCATCTATGTTGTGGTATGTGTCAGAATTTCCTGTCTTTTTAGGATTAACAAGTATTCTCTTTTATGTTTATACCACATTTTGTGTATTCATTCATCTATGAATGAACACTTGCCTTGCTTCCGTTTTTTGGCTAATGTAAATAATGCTGTCCTAAACATAAATGTGCAAATATTTATTTGAACATTGCTTTAAATCCTTTTGGATATATACTGAGGAATAAAAGTGCTTTAATATATAGTAATTCTATGTTACATTATTTGAGGATTGGCCATACGGTTTTCATAGGGTCTTCACTGTTTTACATTCTTTTCAGCAGTCCAAAAGGGTTTCACCACATTATTACCAATATTTGTTATTTTCTGTTGTGTGTATGCCTGTGTGTGTGTTTCATAATAGTCATTAAAATGAGTGTTAGTTGGTTTATCATTAAGGTTTACATTTGCATATCTCTAAGGATTCGTTACCATATTGTTTATCCTTACTATTGTACTGGCTATTTTGGATATTCTGCCTTTTCATATAAACTTTAGGATCAAGTTGCTGATAACCACCAAATAACTTGCAGAGATTATTGGGAAGAACTCACATCTTTAAAATATTTGTCTCCTATCTATGAACAGCAAATATTTCCAAATATACTAAGTTCTTCACTGATTTTGTTCAACACAGTTTGTAAATTTCCTGTAAAAATCTTGTACACATTTTGTTAGAATTATACCTAAACATTTCATTTTGGAGCATGCTAACGTAATTGGTATTGTATTTTAAAATTCAGGTTGTTCTTGTTCGTTGCTGGTATATAGGAAAGTAATTGTTTTTTATATTAATCTTTCATTATATCCTGCAACCTTGCTATAATCACTAATCAGGCCAGGCATGGTGACTCTTGCCTATAATTCCAGCTGCTAAGGATGCTGAAGTGGGAATATAGATTGAGCCTGATAATCTCTCTCTCTACACACACACACACACACACACACACATACACACACACACACAATTCCAAGGATGAAACCCACTTGATAATAATAAATTATTTATTTGACATGCTGTTGGATTGAATTTGCTAGTATTTTGTTGAGGATTTTGCATCTGTGTTCATCAAGGGTATTGGTCTGTGCTATCCTTTTGGCTGTTGTTGTTGTATCACTGCCTGGTTTTGGTACAAAGGTGATACTGGATTTGTAGAATAAGTTATAGAGGGATCCCTCCTCTTCAATTTTGTTGAAATTATTTTGGTATCAGCTTTTCTATATACATTTGGTTAAAAACTGGCTGTGAGTCTGTCTGGTCCTGGCCTTTTATTTGCTGGAAGATTTTTTATTACTAATTTGATTTCATTGCTCAATATGGATCTGTTCAGAGTTTCTTTCTTCCTGGTTCAGTCTTGGAGGTTGTATGTTTCCAGCAAAATATCCATTTCTTCTAGGTTTTCCAGTTTGTGCATGTAGAGATGTTCACAGGATTCTCTGATGATCTATTGTATTTTTGTGATATCAATTGTAATGTCACCTTTATCATTTCTTTTCTCTTTTTTTCCTAGTTTAGTCTAGCTCGCAGTCAGTCAATATTGTTTTTTCTTTCAAAGAACCAGATATACTGTTTCAAAGAAACAGATTATTTGGATGGTTTTTTTAAATTTAATTCTGCTGCATTCTCTGTTAATTCTTTTTTTCCCCTAGCTTTTGGTTTTATTTGTTCTTCCTTTTCTATTTTCTTATGATGCAACCCTACATTGTTAATTTAAAATATTTTTAGCTTTTTGATGTAGGTGTTTAATGCTATAAACTTGTTCTGAGCACTGGTTTTGCTGTATCCCAGCTGTTTTGGTGTGTTTTGTCTCTTTTCATTCTTGTTAAAAAAAATTGTTGATTTCTGTCTTAATTTCATTGTTTAACCAGGAGACATTCAGGAGCAAGTTCTTTAGTTTCCATGTACTTGTTTAGTTTTTAAGAGTTCTTCTTGGAATTGATTTCTAATTTTTTCCACTGTGGTCAAAGTGGATGCTTGACATGATTTTGATGTTTTTGAATTTATTGAGATTTGGTTTTTTACCATGCATGTGGTAAATTTCAGGGGATATTCTGTGCACAGGTGAAAAGAATATGTATTGTGTGGTTTGGGAGTAAAATGTTCTGTAAATGTCTATTAGGTATATTTGGTCAGTAGTCCAGTTTATATCCAGAGTTGCTTTGTTGATTTTCTGCATCATTAATCTGGCTAGTGATGTCAGTTTGGTGTTGATATCCACTATTATTATTGTACTGTTGTTAATCTGTTTTCTTAGGTTGGGTCGTACTAGTTTTAATCTGGGTGCTCTGGTGTTGGGTGCATATATATTTAGAATAGTTAAAACTTTCTGTTGCGTAGAAACCTTTATGTTATAATGGCCTTCTTTGTCTTGTTTTCTGCTGTTGGCCTAAAATCTGTTTTATCCAATATAATAAAGATTACTCCTGATCACATTTATTTTGCATTTGTGTGATTTTTTTTTTCCCACCCTTTTACTTTGAGTCCTAACGTACCTTGAAACAGTACATGGATCTCTTGTAGACAGCAGATGGTTGGGTCTTATTATCATTTTTTTAAATCCAATTTGCCAGTCTCTATCTTTTAAGTAAGCCATTAAGGCCATTTTCATTCAAGATCAATATTGATGTGTGAAGTTTTGTTCCTAAAGTAGTGAGATGTTTGCAAGTGAGATGTTTTAATTCTGTTTCAATTCTGCAGGTTTTTTTAATAAGATCTATGAGTTTTATAGCTGTGTGTGCTTTTCTGATGGTGATTGTTATCCTTATGTTTCCATGTTTAAAACTCCTTTAAGCATTTCTTGTAGGAATGGTCTTGTGGTGACATATTTCCTTAGAGTTTACTTGTCTGAGAATGACTACATTTCTCCTTCGTTTATGAAGCTTAGTTTGACAGCACAGAAAATTATTAGCTGATATTCTTTTCTTCTTCTCTAAGGAGGCTAAAAATAGGTCCCCAATCTCTCCTGGCTATTAGGGTTTCTGGTGACAATTCTGCTGTTAATCAGAAAAGTTTTACTTTTGGATTAGTGCATTCTAACATGGCTGTAAAAAATACCAGAGACTGGATAGGTTATAAAAAAAAAAAAAAAAGAGGTTTAATTGCCTCATGGTTGCATGGTTACATGATACTGGTATCTTATCACTCCTGGAAAGGCCTCAGGAAACCTCCAATCATGGTGAAAGGCAAAGGGGAAGCAGGCTTGGCTTATATGTCCAGAGTGGGAGTAATAGAGAGAGGAGGAAGGTGCCAAAATCTTTTAAACAACCAGATCTTAGAAGAACTCACTATCACAAGAAAAGCACCAAAAGGATGGTGCTCTCATTCATGAGAAACCACTGCCATGATCCAGTTACCTCCCACCAGGCCCTTCCTCAAACACTGGTGGCTACAATTCTACATGAGATTTAGGTGAGGAAACAGATCCAAACAATATCATCCTGCCAATGGCCCCTCCAAATCTCATGTTTTTCTCACGTGTCAAAATACAGTCATGCCTTTCCAACAGTCCCCCAAAGACTTAACTTATTCCAGCATTAATGCAAAAGTTCACAGTCCCAAGTCTCATATGAGACAAGGCTAGTCCCTTCCACCTATGTGATTGCAAAATAAAAGAAAAAAAAGTCAGTTACTTGCAAGATACAATGGAGGGATAGGCATTGGCTAAATAGTCCTGTTCCAAAAGGGAGAAATCAACCAAAAGAAAGAGGATATAGGCTCCATGCAAGTCTTAAACCCAGAAGAGCAGTCATTAAATTTTAAAGCTCCAAAATAACCTCCTTTGACTCCATGCTCCACATCCAGGACATACTGATGCTAGGGGTGGGCTCCCACATCCTTGGGCAGCTCTACCCCTGTGGCTTTGCAGGGAACAGCCTGTGCAGCTGCTCTCATGGGCTGGTGCTGAGTACCTGTGGCTTTTTCAGGTGCATGGTACAAGCTGTCAGTGGCTCTACTATTCCACGATCTGGAAGACAGTGGTCATCTTGTCACAGCTTCACTAGGCAGTGTCTCAGTGTGGACTCTGTGTGGGGGATCCAACCTGACATTTCCCCTCCCACTGCCCTAGTAGAGGTTCTCTATGAGGGCTCTGCCCCTGCAGCAGGTTTCTACCTGGACATCTAGACTTTTGCACACATCCTCTGAAATCTAGTAGTAGACTCCCTAGACTCAGCTCTTGCACTCTATGGACCGTATTTAACTCTATGGACTCTATTTAACACCTTGTAGCAACTGTCAAGGCTTATAGGTTGCACCCTCTGCAGCAGCAGCATGAGTTGTACCTTGGCCCCTTTTGGCCATGGCTGGAGCTGGAAAGGCTTGGATACAGGGATCAGTGTCCTGAGGTCGTACAGGGTGGCGGGGCCCTGGGCTTGGCCCTCCAAACCATCTTTTCCTCTTAAGCCTCTGGTCATGTGATGGGAAGGGCTGCCATGAAGGTCTGTGAAATGGCTTTGAGGCCTTTTCCCCTTTGTCTTGGCTATTAGCATTTGCAATCTTTTTAGTTATGCAAATTTCTGCAGCCTGCTTGAATTCCTCCCATGAAAATGGGCTTTTCTTTTCTAATGCATGACCAAGCTGCAAAGTTTCAAAATTTTATGCTCTGCTTCCCTTTTAAATATATGCTCCAGTTTTTCATCATTGCTTTGCTCACACTTATGAACATAGGCTGTTAGACATGGCCAGGTCATACCTTGAATGCTTTGCTGCTTAGAAATTTATTCCACCAAATACCCTAAACCATCACTCTCAAGTTCAAAGTTTTACAGATCCTTAGGGCAGGTGCACAGTGCCACCAGGTTCGTTGCTAATGCATAACAAAAGTGATCTTTGCTCCACTTCCCAATAAGTTCCTCATCCCCATCTGAGACCTCGTCAGCCAGGACTTCATTGTCCATATCACTATAGGCATTTTGGTCACAACAATTTAACAAGTCCCTAAGAATTTCCAAGTTTTCCCTCATGTTTGTCTTCTTCTGAGCCCTCCACAATCTTCCAACATCTGCCCATTATCCAGTTCCAACATTGCTTTGATAGTTTTAGAAATCTCTATAGCAGTGTCCCACTACTTGGTACCAATTTTTTGTATTAGTGTGTTCTCACATTGCTATAAAGAAATACCTGACACTGGGTAATTTATAAAGAAAAAAACTTAATTGGCTCACAGTTCTGCAAGCTGTACAGGTAGCATGATGCTGACATCTGCTTGGCTTCTGGAGAGGCCTCAGGAAACTTTCAATCATGACAGAAGGTAAAGGGGAAGCAGGCACATCTTACATGGCCAGAGCAGGAGCAAGAGAGAGAGGCAGAAACTGCCACACCCTTTTAAACAATCAGTTCTCATAAAAAGTCGCTTTCACAAGAATAGCAACAAGGGGATAGTGGTAAACCATTCATGAGCAATGTGATGGTTAATACTGAGTGTCAACTTGATTGGATTGAGGGATACAAATTATTAGCCCTGGATGTGTCTGTGTGGGTGTTGCCAAAAGAGATTAACATTTGATTCAGTGGGCTGGGGAAGGCAGATCCACCCTTAATCTGGTGGGCACAATCTAATCAGCTTCCAGTGAACATAAAGCAGGCAGGAAAACATGAAGAAACGAGAGGGGCGAGCCTCCCAGCCTACATCTTTCTCCCATGCTGGATGCTTCCTGCTCTTGAACATCAGACTCCAAGTTCTTCAATTTTGGGACTCGGACTGGCTCTCCGTGCTCCTCAGCTTGCAGACAGCCTATTCTGAGACCTTGTGATCATGTAAGTTAATATGGAATATATTATATATATGTTATATAGGAGCTGTGCCAAAATGACCACTGTCTTCCTGACCCTGGAATAGTAAAGCCACTGACAGCTTGTATAGTTTTATATATATGTATAGTTATATATATATATATATATCCTATTAGTTCTATCCCTCTGAGAGAACCCTGACTAATACAAGACACTTCTGCCATAATCCAATTACCTCCCACAGACCGCAACTTCAACACTGAGGGTTATAGTTTCACGAGATTTGGATGAGGACACAGATTCAAACCATATAAACTTTATAGGTGTTTTGACCCTTTTCTCTGGCTGCCTTTAAGAATTTTTCTGTACCATTGACCTTGGATAGTCTGATAACTACATGCCTTGTTCATGTGTGTATTTTTATAATATCTTGAAGGTTTTCTTTAAAATTCTTGTATCTGCACAACTGCTTCTCTAGAGAGATTAGGGAAGTTTTCTTGAATTACTATTTTTTTTAGATGGCTTACTTTTTATTCTCTCTCAGGAATGTCTATAAGTCATAGGTTTGATCACTTTACATAATTCTATATTTCTCAAAGCTTTGTTTTTTAAATTATTTTTTCTTTATTTTGTTTGTCTTAATTCAAAAACTGGTCTTCAAGCTCTGAAATTCTTTCTTGTGCTTAGTCTAGTCTACTGTTAAAGCTTTCCACTGTATTTGGAAGTTTCTTAAGTGATTTTTTTTTTAATTTTGAGAAGTTCTCTTTGTTGTTTTTCCTTTATCATGTCTTCCTTTATTTCCTCAATTGCTTTCATGATGTCTTTGTGTTAATTTTCAACCTTCTCTTGGACGTCATTATACTTCCTTGTAATTCATGCTTTGAATACATCATCTGTCATTTCTGAGTTTTAAATGTTTTTAGGGTCTGTTGCTAGAGAGTTAGTATGATTTCTTGGTGTTGTGACTACATTCTGGTTTTTCATGATGCCAGAATTTTTATGCTGCTTCTTTCTCATCTGGAGAAGTTGGCACTTCTTTTTGAATTTATTTTTGCTTGGATGGTCTCTTCTCTCTCTCTCTCTTTCCCCCTCTCTCTCCCTGTCTCTCTCTCTCCACCCCCGCCCCCCCCAACCCTTAATATATATATTCTTCTTTTAGGGAGTGTGACTATAGAGTATGTCGGGTACAGCCTTTTGTCTTTGCTCCTATAGCTATTTGCACTTCTGTCAGCAGGCTTTTTCTTGGTCTGTGCAGTTTGACCTGCAGGCCAGTAGGTGATGCTTATGCTTAAGACGCAATAGAGGCAGGAGCCACTCTGTGTGTATTTGATTTGTGTTTAACTTGAAGTATTTTCTACTTTCCTTAGGTGATGCGCTGCACATTGGAATGCCTACTACCCTCAGCTTCGGGTTCAGTGTGGTGGGGGGAACACAGCGGAGCAGAGCGTGACTCCCTGACTTCCTCACAGTTTCCTCAGTGACAAGCACAGATGACTGGGGTGGCTGGGGGAGCTCCTGGTGAGATGCACTGAGGTCATTGCATGGGGTGAATGATTGTTCCAGCTCCATGTGCTAGATATGCAGGAATGTGATTAGCTTTTCTATCACACTCCTGTCCCACTGCTTATGATTCAGATTCACACTTTTGTCTACCTTCAGGCTACAGTGTAGCTGAGACACATGGAAATGCCTGTACTGTAGCATTCTGTGGGAGTGGTTTCAGGATGGAACCTCTTCACTCAGCCCAGTACAGACAGCTTTATGGCTCACCTCTTCTCCAATGTCGCAAGGCTGCTGCTTTGTGCTGAGGAGGGTAGGGGCTCCACCTTTTGACCCACGCACGTGGGCAGCAGTTGTGATGGTATCCGCTAGTTGGGCTGGCCTGACCTCCTGGTGGGTAGTCAGGTGCCAGGAGTCGTGGACCAGGTTAGATAACTTCTTGACTTTCAGGCCCCTAAGTGGCCCACTGGATGGCATATATGAGTCCAGAAGGGGCTAGACCAGGATTATATCAGCCCAGAATTTAGGAGCTGCTGTGATTAGGAGGGATGGATTGGTCTCTGGGTCACTGACAGAACAGTCAGGTTAGGGCAGGGAGAATGCTCAGGCAGTGGAAGTCAGAGGGAAGATCACAGGCCTTAGAGGCTGGGCTGCAGGTGAAATGGTCAGGAAAGAGCAGGATGGCTGTACTGTGAGCTTCTTACTGGGAAAGTTAGGACCCCATGGCTGGGGTAGTGAAAACTGGCAGCTGCGGGGCATATGGCCTGCTTGCAGTTTCCTGCCATAGAAGTGGCACTGGGTTTCACCATTGGGAGCATGTAAAGTTGCCTGGCCTACCCATACCCTCCCTGGTCCTAGGGTGGCAGGGGTGGACAGAGGCAGCAGTGACATATGCCCAGGATGGCCTATCAGTGGCCCTGGAAGTTCAGCTATAGCCACAGTCTTCAGATGGGGACAGGGTGGGTGCACTGGGAGACTGTTACTGTGTAAGTAAGCTCCACCTGGAAAAGAGCTACAAAGGCAAGGGGTCACGCAGTGTGCAGTCTGCCTTCTTCTCCACACTGTGGCTGCAGGTTCTGTCTTACATGCATGCAAAAATGCCCCACCTCCTCATTACATTCCTAGCCTGTGGTTGGCAGTGGCAGAGGCAGGTGTGGTAGCACTTAGGCTCTCAGAGGAATGCTGAGCTGTGGTCACAGTGTTCAACTTGGGGAAGGGGAGCTGCACTGCACCACAAGGTTGTCACTGAAGCAGGCAAGCCCTGCATGGGAAGAAGCCACAGAGGTGGGGGATCATGCATTGCATAGTCTGCCCATGCCTCTGTGCCCTGATTTTGGTATCTACTTTGACAGTGCCTAAAAGTGCCCTGCCTCCATGTTCCCTGCCTGGCCCATGGATAGCAGAGGCAAAGGCAGCAGTGTCAGAGGCTGCAGAGAGCATATTACCAGCCTCTGGGAGTTAAGCTTCAGTTGCAGTGTTCAGGTGGGGATGGGGCTGGTGTGCTGGAGGCCTGTCTCCAAAGCAGACTAACCCAATTTGGTGGGGTTCAATAGAGGTGAAGGGTCATGTAATGTGTCATCCGCCTGCTGCTTTGTACAATGGGAGTGGCATCTGTCCTGAGGGTAGTATCTGTCCTGGGAGTGTGCAAAAGTGCTTGGCCTCTCTCCTTGGCAAGGCAGTGGTGGCTGGCATGGAGCTGCTTGGGTATCAAAAGCTTGTTGATTCCATGTGGGCTTGAGCAGTACCTTTGCTCAGTCTCCAGGCAGCTCCCCATTTCAATCTGGAGACCCGCTGGGGGAGAGGGGTTAAAAAGGACTCTCCTGTCATGAGGGTTGTAAAGGTCCATGATGGAAGTGTGGAACCCCTTGGGTCTCTCACTCACTCACCCCTTCCATATGTTAGGAGGCCTCTCCCAGGTTCACACCAGTACTGGCTCTTCAGGCTGCGTAGCTTCACTCTCCTCTGCTTTCTATGGTTCCCAATGCTTCCCTGGTGAATTTAAGGATACTCCCTTAGACAATCCACTGGAAGTGCCAATATGTACTTACTATTTTAATTCTTCTCCATGATATAGGCACTCACTAGCTGTTTCTAGTCAGCCATCTTGAACAGGGATAGCTTCTCCCATATTTAGTGTGAGACCTGCTCCAGCTTCTGGAGGTAAATTTAACTCACATTAGTATGGTGTACCTGCTTTCACTGGGTCCTCCTGGAGTTTTAACTATCAGACTTGTACACACAAAGCCTTAAGCAATTTATCAATTATAGCTTGTGTTTTCCTACTCCATCACTGTTACCTGTTGTGGTTTTTGCTTATGAGTTTCTTCTCCAATAAGCTCTGACTCTTAGTAAGCCTATCTGCCTCTCCAATCTTGGGAGCAATGGTTTTCCCTGTGTCCTTGCATTTCTTATTTATCCGGAAGAGTAGTACATTTTTCAGGCTTCTTAATTTTTTTCCTTGCTAGAAAGAAGTGGCATCTTCCAAGCTCCTTACATGCAGAACTGGAAAACAAAAGCCCTATTTTCAGAATTGTCATGCACAGAATATGTTCTTTAATTTCATTTTCACATGTCAAAATCTAATGTTAATTGTTATAAGAAATATTAGTTAATGAAATATTTGTTTTATATTTTCTCCAGACTTTTTCATTTCATATAAATATTATCATATATGTGGTCTTTGTGACTGCCTTCTTTTGCCTAACATTACGTTTTCAAAATTTATCTAGTATGTATCAGTATGCTATTCCCTTTTATGGTTAAATAATATTCCACCGTATGCCTACATAACAGTCTGTTTATCTGATCATCTTTTGTATGAATATTTGATTTCTTTCCACTTTTGAGCTATTATTTATAATACTGATGTGAACACTCATGTAAAACATTTTCAGTGGACACAAGTTTTTATTTCTCTTGAGTATATATCTAAAGTGGAATGCAGAATAGGTGGGTTATGTGGTAAGTATATGTAAAATTTAGAATAACTTTCAGAGTGTTTTACAAAGTACCTGCTACATTTTACATTTTTACAACCAATATGTGAGAGTTCTGATTTTTCCACATCTTCACCAACACTTGTTTTTGTTTTTTTTTTAAATTATAGGCTTCCTCTATGAAATGGTTACTCATCTTTGTTTTCGTTTTCATTTCCCTGATGACTAACAATATTGGATATCTTTTTATGTGTGAATTGGTCATTTTATATACAATTTGAAGAAATGTTTATTAATGTTTTTGCCTGTATTATTTGTCTTTTTATTATTCAGTTGTATGAGTTCTCCAAATAATCTTGACGCAAGTCTCTCATCAGATTCATGATCTGCAAATATTGTCTTCCATTCTGTGTGTAAACATCTTTATAATCTCAACTTTATTTGGACTAATGTCTAAAATGGCTATCAATGTAAGACATAAGCATTTGCCTCCAAGAATTTGTATCTTGAAACTAAATTACCAACATGGTAGTATTAAGAGGTGCGGCCATTAGGAAGTGATGAAATTGAGGAAGGAAGTCTTCAGGGATTGGATTGGGGCTTTATAAAAAAGGCTTGAGGAATGGGTTCACTATCCTCTGCTTCTCTGCCATATGATAATACAATGTTCATCCCCTTGCTGTCCTTCCTATCCCTTCCATCATGTGAGGATATCTAGATGATGCCATGTGTAAGGAACAGGCCTTTACTAGAAACCAAATATACCAGTGTCTGGAGATTGGACTTTTCAGCTTCCAGAACTGTGAGGAAATAAATTTCTGTTCTTTATAAATTATCTAGTCTCAAGTGTTTTGTTATAGCAGCATGAACTGACAAGATAATATTCTTACACAAATTAATATAAAGCTAGATGGGTGGGACACATGAGAACAATTTACCAATAAGTAGTTTTAAATAAAATACTGAGAAAATGAATTCCTCAGTTAAATAAAAATAACATACAAAGATCTATGTGTGTGTATATATAATATCTATCCATATCTATATAAACTTGACTTTACATATACACAAGGAAAATATGTTGTAAGATTCCATGTGGAGTTGCATTTCAAGAAAATATTTAGTTTAAGCTAAGTTATAAAGAGCAATGTTAGATAACATACACATCTTATAATAGTCTGTAATCGTATTTCCTTTCATTACAGATAAAACTTGAAATTTGAGAAAGTATTATTGCAAAATGTGAAATATGCTAATGTGAAGGTGCCTGAATGAATTGTTCAAGAGCTGTCTTATTGGAAAAATAAATTTAACTACATCTTTATTAACTTAAGCATAGTATACTGAAATTTGCTTACAGCAGTCAACTCTGAGCAATTCTTCTGGCCAAAATGTAATGACAATGCTTTACTTCTATTATCTGAGATTGAAACAAATTCTGCCCATAATTTCTGGGTGATAAAAAGCTAAGAGTTTTAAAATTAAGCAGATTTCATTTGACAACTGAGCTGAAATTTTGAGTCAGCCCTAAACTCCAATCTGCTATGTCCTTTTCACTTTTGGTGACCTTTTACTATGCTTTAACTTTAGTGCCTTAACTTGGTAAAATTGAAAGAAGAACAAAATAAATGTTGTGAGAGAAACTTGATTTCTCTATATTATAATTTGATTGTAAAATAATCACATTAATGATTCTAAGTCCCTTAATAATTGATTTACTAGCAGATATATTATCAAGCAAACACTAGTTAATGTTACTTTGTCACATATAATTACAATGCAAATTAAACATACACAACGCATGCCCTCAAGGAATTTATATACCACAACAGACATAATCACAAAGATACACATAAATGTATATACATCATATGACCAAATTTATATTTTTGTGTTGAAATTATTAGTAATATAATAAATATACAAATCAAGTATTATTTCTATAATGTATAAGGTTATTAATTTTAACTAGCATAGTACCCATGTTATTTTTGTTTTGAGACACATGTATCATATATTACTGAAGTATAACAACATGAAACAGAGGACAGAACTATATTTTTGATACATTATATTCATAGCTTAAATGTAGCTTATTTTTTGGATGTATGCTTATTTATTTGAGAATCTATCTTTTTGTTCCAAGAAAGTAGTTTTGGACTCATGCTACAGCTCATCAATTAATTGCATGAATGTGATATGCAGTTTTTGTGCGCCTTAAAATTTAAATTATGCAGTATATATGTCAAATGATCTGCAAACTAAATATGAAAGCAATATTACATATAATTTAGGACAACTATAAGACACTTTTTATAGTGTGTTTTTTTAATATAAACTCTGTTAACAGGACTAACTAAAAATACCTAATCTTTGCTCTTCACAAAAATAATGTCAATTATGTCCTGTCCATGTCCAAATTCTATATATCACGTGTCACAAGAAAATTCAATATTCTTTAAAAAGTTACCCATAGATTGTGTCTATTATACACAAACAACTGTTGATGTCTGAATATTTTATTGCTATAATAATTGTGGATGCCTTTTAATACATTAAAATAAAATGTTTTAATATTAATTTAATGTTAATGTTAATGAAATGTTTTAATATTAATATTAATAAAATGTTTTAGTATTGATTTAATGTATTAATAATACATTAACAAAACAAAGATGCCTATTTTTGCCACTTCTATTCAACAAAGTAATGGAAGTTTTAGCTAGAACAATTAGGCCAAAAAAAGAAAAAAGACGAAATAAAAGACTTCCAAGTTGGAAAAGAAAAAGTAACTATTTTTTATTGAAGATGACATAACCCATATATAGATAACCCTAAAGATTCCCAAAAAAACTCTTAGAACTAATCAATTTAGCAAAATTGCAAGATAAAAAAATAACCCACAAATATCAGTGGCTATTCTATATACTACCAACAAAAAATCTGAGAAGAAAATCAAGACAACGCGTCATTTAAAATAGCATCAGAAATAATAAAACTACTTAGGAATAAACTTTAAAATAAGAGGTGAAAAACTTGTACACTCAAAACTAAAAATATTGCTGAATTAAATTGAAAAAGACACAAATAAATAGGAAGATATCTTGTGTTCATGGATTTAAAGACTTCATATTGTTAAGATGTTGCAGTACTACCCAAAGAAATGTGAGAATTAAATGAAATCCTTTTCAAAATCCCAGTAAAGATTTTGCAGAAATAGAAATATACATCTTAAAATTAATATGAAATTTCAAGGGATACCAAACAGCTAAAGCAATATTGAAAGAAAATTGGAGCTCTTATACTTTCTGATAGCAAATATATTACAAAACTAAAGCAATCAAAACAGTCTGGGACTGGCATAAAGAAAGATATATAGATCAATAGAATTGAACAGAGATTATAGAAAAAAATTGCATAATGTTCATATGATTTTTGACAAGGATGCCAAGACCCATTCAATGGGGAAAAAAGTGTTTTCAACAGATGTTGAGAAAACTGAGTATCTACATAAAAAAGAATAATAAAGTAGGGCCCTTACTTTATATATAAAAAAAATTAAAAATGTAAGAAAAACATATATTTAAACACTAAAACTATAAAACTTTAGAAGAACATATAAGGACATGATTTGTGACACTGGATTTGGTAATGATATCTTGAATGGCACATCAAAAGCATAGTAAACAAAAGGAAAAAAGGATGAATTAGGTTACATCAAAATTAAGTTTTTTGGCATCAAAGAGTACTATCAACAGAAGGAAAAGTCAATCCAGAGAATGGGAGAAAATATTTGCAAATTATATATAACATGTTAGTATCCAGAATATGTAAAGAACACCTAGAATTTAACAACTTAAAAACAACAACAACAAAAAAAACAAATTATAAAATGGGTAAAAGGCTTGAATAGACATTGAAGATACAAATGGCCAATAAGCACATAACATGTTTGATATCACTAATTATTAGGGAAATGCACATAAAAACCGTAATGAGATCACACATTACACCCATTATAATGATTATCTCCAAAACAAAAAAAAAAAAGAAAAAAAAACAAAAAACAGAAAATACTTGGAGAAATTGGAATACTTGTGCACTGCCATTAGAAATGTAATGTATTGCAGCTGCTGCAAAACACAGTTTGGTAGTTCTTCAAAAAATTAAGTATAGAATTACCATATGATGTAGTAATTCCACTTCTGGGTATATCAGCAAAAGAGTTGAAATCATGGACTCAATCAGATATTTGTACACCCATGTTCATAGCAGCAGTATTTACAAGAGTCAAAAGGTGGAAACAACCCAAATGTCCATTCACAGACTAATGAATACACAAAATGTGGTATATATGGTAGTTTCTCAGTATCTATGGGGGATTGGTTTTAGGGACTTTTGTGGATACCAAAATCCACTTATGGATGCCTAAGTCCCTAATATAAAATGATGTAGTATTTGCATTTAACATATGCACATGCTCTTTTGTATTTTTAATCATCTCTAGATTACTTATAATTCCCCATACAATGTAAGTGCAATGTAAATAATTGTTATATTCTACTGTTTAGAAAATAATGTCAAGGAAAAATTATTTTTACATGCTCAGTACAGAGGCATTTATCCATTTTTTCAAAATATTCTTGATCTATGGCAATTTGAACCTATGGATGCGGAACCCAAAAATATGGAGGGTCTAATATATGAACAATGCAATATTATTCAGCCTTGAAGAGGAAGACAGTTCTGACACATGCTACAACATGGATAAATCTTAAATACATTGCCTAAGACTTAGTGAGATAAGCTAGTCATAAAAGGACAAATACACTTATATTTGGTATAGAAGTACTAAAGTAGTCAAATTCATACAGACAGAAAGTAGAATGGTAGTTGCCAGGGGATGGGTGTAGGAGAAATGGGTAATTATTGTTTAATAGGTAAATTCTCAGTTTTTGAATGTAAAAAGTTCTAGAGGTAGATGGTGGTGATGTTTCCACAACAATGTACATTAACAAGATTTCCATTAACAATATAGTTAATGCCACTGAACTGTACACTTAAAAATGGTTAGAATGGGAAATTTTATATTAGCATATCTCACTACAATTTTTAAAAAGTAAATGACAAAAAATAAACGATTTCATGAAACAAATTATTGGTTAAGACAATTAGAGTTAATTTACAACATATTTATAGGTCAGGTTCTCAGATAAATGTACATATAGGCAGTTCTAATATATTAACATTTCCTTTCTCATTAATAGTCATTTATTGTTTATTGAGGCTATTTCTAAATATCAGGGCCCAAATACACTAGTAGTAATACTAATTCTTCATTTCTTTTACTATTTTACTAAGGGCCAGTCACTCTCTGAAGTGCTTAAAAGTACTAATCCTAATTATTTTTCAAAAGTAACCTGGGTAAGTATTATTATTATTTCTATTTTACAAATGAAGAAACTCAGGCAGAGAAAAGATAAATCATTTAAACACAGTCACACAGAGCGTAAATGGATTGATGATTTAAGACCAATGACTCTGCAGAACCTTTCCTCTTAACAACTCTGATATCTTATGTAGTCCTTTCATCATCCACATTGATAGGTACACTTACACTTCTTTTCCAAATAAACTGAGGTATTGGAGTTTAAATAACTTGTCTGAAATCATACATGTTCAGGATCTATATTCATGCGTATTTGACTCTGAAAACCTGGCTCTTAAATTACCAACAATACTACAATTCTCCAACTTGCAAAGAGTTTATTTATGTCTCACACAGCCCCAGGATGAACTCAAGACCACAGAATATCCCAGTTTTTAACCAGAGTATTGACCACAATGAAAATAAAGAAAAAATTTGAAAAATAAACGGTAGCGGTAGATCTCATAAGTAAATCAAATAATTTGTTCCTTAAATATAGATAGATACATCACTAACATGCCTAAAAATTTGAAAAAAGAAGAAAGCAAAAAATACGCACATGAAAAATATAAATGGGGAAGTGAACACTGATACAGAAGAAGAAAAAATGATATAATAACATAATTAATTCAAGTTTATAAAAATAATATCAAAGATGATATAGATGAAATACCTGATTTTTTTGGGAAATATAAAATGACAAAATTGTTTCTTTAAAAAGCTAGAAAATCTAAACAGACAAATTGTCATTGGAGAAAACAGTTTTGAAAAAGTAGTCAAAGAACTACTTAAAACTTATTAGTCATGGAATGTCTTTGTAGGTCAATTATCTTAAATCTTTAGAATACAGATGAATCCAGTATTATTTTAACTCTTTCTGTGATGGGCTGAATTGTGTGCCCCCAATATTCAGATGTTAAATCTCTAACACTCCATATCTCAGAATGTGACTATTCAGATGTAGCCCCTAAAGCTGTAATTAAGTCAAAATGAGGCCACTTGTGCGAAGCCTAATTTAATCTGACCAGTGTTCTTATACGAAGAGAAAATTTGCACACACAGAGTGACAGCAAGAAAATGTGGGCACAGATGAAAGATCATGTGAGGACACAGCAAGATGACAGCCATTGTCAGCCAAGGAGTGAGGACTTAGAAAAAAGTAAACTTGTAGATTCCTTGATCTTATACTTCTATCCCTCTAGAACTGTGAGAAATAAATTTATCTTGTTTAATCCATCCAACTCTTTGGTACGTTGCTATTGATACAGCTCCGATGAGTGGAGGAACACCAGGGCTCTTTTTTTTTTTTTTTTTTTTTTTTTTTTTGAGACGGAGTCTCGCTCTGTTGCCCAGGCTGGAGTGCAGTGGCGCGATCTCGGCTCACTGCAAGCTCCGCCTCCCGGGTTCACGCCATTCTCCTGCCTCAGCCTCCCGAGTAGCTGGGACTACAGGCGCCCGCCACTACACCCGGCTAATTTTTTGTATTTTTTTAGTAGAGACGGGGTTTCACCTTGTTAGCCAGGATGGTCTCGATCTCCTGACCTCATGATCCACCCGCCTCGGCCTCCCAAAGTGCTGGGATTACAGGCGTGAGCCACCGCGCCCGGCCCCCAGGGCTCTTGTTTCGTGGGAATTGGGTAAAATGACATGGACACCTGTGGAGTGATTTTAAGGAGTGGAGAGTTTAATAGGCAAGAAAGAAGGGAGAAGAAAGAAGGAAGAAGCTCCCCTGTACAGACAGAGGGAGGGGTTCCCAAAGCCAAGAGAGGAGACCCCATGTGCAACAGAAAAGTGGCTACTTATATGAGTAGGCTGGAGGAGGTGGTGTCTGATTTGCATAGGGCTCAGGGGATTGGTTTGACCAGGCATGTCATTCACATAGCCCATGAAAAAGCTGGCCCTTCCGCCCTAGCCTTTTATTATGCAAATGCAGTGCGCCATGATGTTCTACACATGGGGATATGTTGGGGAGGCCATGTTGCCAGACACATGTTGGGGCAAGGGCAAGAAGGCGACAGGAATTGCCATGTTTGGGCAGACCCAGTTTCTAATGGCCAGCATTTGCATATCAAAGGTGGCCAGCCTGACTCTAAGAACCAGTGCTTTCCTGCTAGACAAGAAACATTTCTGGAGCTGCTTTAAAAGAAACAACAACTTCCCAAGGACCTCTTTTCCTCTTTATCTGCCTAAGATAATTTCTTAATAACTCCTATAACATTATGACAACCTTAGCAAACTAACACAGTTGCAGAACACGAATAAAAAAAATTGCAAACATTTATTTTAAAGCTCACATAATATTGATAGCAAAACTGACATAGCAAATAGATAAAAAAGAAAAATGCAGTACAATTTCAGATGCAAAACCTTAAATAAAATATCAGCTAGAAAAGGTTTAGTCTTAGGTAAATATTTAACATACTTTATCATACTAATCAAAAGCCAGTAGATAAAAATCATAAAATGAGAAGAGTGATATTCAGCAAGATGGAGAGTTAGGAGCTGGTGCACTCATATCTCCTTATGACAACAATAATTTTGCAGGCATCCATGGACAAAAGTGCATTTGTGGAAACATTAGGACTGAGGTAGGAGGTTGTGAAACTCTGGTGGCACCTCGGACCTAGGAATGCCTTTTTAAGAGGCAAGACCCATGCCCCAGTGCTAGACTCAAAAACCATTGTCCTGATGCCAAACCTGGAAACAGCCTTATTTCCCTGTGGACTTGTCTACAGCACTATTTTACCTTGTTTCTGTGACCAAAACTATCTGCCAAAGGCCCAGGAGGAGTCATGCACACTAGTGTCACTGGGGAAGGCCTTCTGACTTCAGTTCCACGGTAGATACTAAAATGGTTTGCAAACTTAGCCCCAGTCCTTCTTACTGCAGTTTGAGAGCAGCTCTGCCTGAAGGAATGCATGCCTGTCCATGCCCCTGTAGCCAGGCCAGCTGGCATTGGCCCCACAGCAGATCCTGAGATAGCTCTGCAACTCAGCCCAGCCCCTCTAAGTTGCAGTTTGAGAGCAGTTCTTTCCACACTGCGGAGGGACCTAGAGAAAAATTCACTCAGCATTGCCTCTGTAGGCAAGCCTACTGACCTTGGCCCCACTGTGAATCTTAAAACAGCCCTGTAAATTGACTCCAGCTCATGTCAGCTATGGTCTGAGAACAGTCCTGCTTTCCCAGGAAGCCACTAGAATACAAATCCACTTCTGACACCAATGGCAGGCTTATAGGCCTCAGTCATGGCTACAGACTTGAACCAGTCCTGGACTCAGTTCAAAGCCCTTCCAGCCATGGTCTAGGGTCGGTATTATCTGTCTGAGGATTCTCAGAATTACCCAGCATAAGCCCTCCCAGAGACCTAGAAGAAGCAGTACCCGTTCATCACCTGGAAACAGGAAAACCATCTGCAGATTTTGAAGTAGATCCTTATTCCAGTGCCAGATCTGCTGACCAAAGACCTGGAGTCAGTCCAGTCCACTCAAAAAACATATAGGATTCATACTCCCTAGAGCCCCTGGTAACAGGCCCACTAAGTGCAAATTCCAATGCAAAACCAGCAGCAGTCACATGACCTGGTTCAAACACCACTTGGCCACAATCTTGGAGATAATCCAATAAGCACAGGAAATCAACAGGAGAAGGTCTTCATCTGCCAAAAGTAGTCTGTAAATACTGAAAGAAGTGTTTGCTCATTCAAATGCATAGAACAAATGGACCTAAGAGATATATATGGAACATTTTATCCAATAGCAGTAGCACAAATTTTTTTCTCAAGTATATATGGAATCTTCATCAGAATATATCATATTTTGGGCCACAAAACAACCTTTAACAAATTTAAGAATATTGTAATCATATCACATATCTTTTATGACCACTATGTTATAAAACTAGAAATCACCAATAGCAGAAATGTTGTAAAATTCAGAAATGTGTGAAAATTAAACAACTTGTTCCTAAACAACTGAGGGCCAAAAAATAAATTAAAAGCAAGTTTAAAACCATTATAAGAACACCAAAAATGGAAACATAACATACAAAAACTTAAAAGATTCGGCATAAGCAGTTCTAAGAGTAAAATTTGTAGCAATAAATGCCTTCATTAAGAAAAAAAAGATCTCAAATAACAGTCAAATTTTGCACCTCAAGAAAAAGAAGAACTTAGCTAAAAGGATAAAGAAGAAAATGTAAACATCAGAACAAAAATAAAATAGACACAAGAAAGACAATAGAAAAGATCAATAAAACCAAGAGTTGGTTTTTTGAAAAGAAGAAATCTGACAAACCTTTAGGTAGACTAACTGTATTAGTTCATTCTTGCATTGCTACAAAGAAATACCTGAGACTTGGTAATTTATAAAGGCAATACAATGAAATTATAGGCAATCCAATTTCTGGTTACATGCCCAAAAGAAATGAAATTAGTATGTCAAAGTGATATCTGGATTCCCATGTTCATTGAGCTTTATTCACAGTGGCTAAGCTATGGAATCCATCCAAGTGTTCACTGATGGATAAATGGATACAGAAAATGTTTATATATATATATATAATATTTCATATATATAATTTTTTTTTGACATGGGGTCTTGCTCTGTCACCCAGGCTGGAGTGCAATGGCACGATCTTGACTCACTGCAACCTCCACCTCCCAGGTTCAAGCGATTCTCCCGCCTCAGCCTCTTAAGTAGCTGGGATTACAGGTGTGCACCACCACGCAAAGCTAATTTTTTGTATTTTTAGTAGAGACAGGGTTTCACCATGTTGGCCAGGCTGGTCTTGAACTCCTGACCTTGTGATCTGCCCACCTCAGCCTCCCAAAGTGCTGGGATTACAGGCATGAGCCACCGCACCCCGCATATAATTTCATATATATATATGTGTGTGTGTGTGTTTATCACAATGTGTATGTATACAAACAATAAATATTATTCAGCTTAAAACAGGAAAAAGACATTTCATTTCTGACAGCATGGAGATATTATTGCTAAGTGCAACATGCTAGACACAGAAGAACCAATACTGTATGATCTCATTTATATGTGGAATCTAAAAAAGTGAAACACTTAGAGAGTGGAACTGTGTTTCCCAGGTGCTGGGGGTGGGGAAAATGTGGAGATATTGGTCAAATGGCACAAATTTCCAGTTATAAAATAAACAACTTCTAAGAATCTAATGTACAGCATGGGTGGTGAAGGATATTGTAATTAATTTCATTATGATAATCATTATTCAATATATACATATATCAGATTATCACACTGTACACCTTGAATATATACAATCTTCATTTGTCAATTAAATGTTTTTTTAAATTTAAAAACTTACAAACCCAAAAACACACAGTGTTCTTAAAAAATATCTGAAGATATTTTACAAAAGTCAAATTACAATGTAGTTCCAATTATGTTTTTCAAGATGGCTAACTCGGGCCATCTAATGCCTCTTCTCCTCAGAAAGAAAATCAAATTTACTGGTGAATGGAAAAGTTCCAAATGGAAAACTGAGAGAAGAGACCCAGGGCCTATTGGAGAGCCTACAGGAAGAAGCCCAGATGCAGAAAAGGGAAGCAGCAAGAGTCTAGCCGAGATCAACCCCTGGGGAACTCAGAGCCCCATGGAAAGGTTCTGTGGGAGTGCTTCTTTGCTCCCCTCACCCCTGTGACAATCTGCTGACTGCCAAACTGTTGGGGAGCCCCTCTGCCTTTGTAACCTAGGGCAACGCTATTGACGCCTTGCCAGAAGGTGGGGGGTGTGTGGGAGAAAGGAGAACATCCGGAAGAATAGCTAATGGATGCTGAGCTTAATACCTAGGTGATGGGATGATCTGTGCAGCAAACCTCCATGGCACACGTTTACCGATCTAACAAACCTGCACATCCTGCACAAGTAACCTTGAACTTAAAAATATAAGTTGGAAATTAAAAAAAATCATGTTTTGCACTGTAACTATATACAATTTTTATTTGTATATTTGTATAATTTAATTATACCTCAATAAATCTGAAAAAATAAAAAAGTGTCTTCGCATGTCCTTTCCCTGGTATTTTATGGGGCTGTTTGTTTTTCACTTGTTAATTTAAATTCCTTGTCGATTCTGGACATTGAACCTCTGACAGATGCTTGGTTTACCAATATTTTACCCTATCGTCTAAGTTGTCTCTTTATTCTGTTGACAATTATTTTGCTGTGCAGAAGCTCTTTTATTTAATTAGATCCCATTTGTCAATTATTGTTTTTGTTGCATTTGCTTTTGGATTCATCATCATGAAATCTTTCCCAGGGTCTATGCTTAGAATGGTATTTCTTAAGTTATCTTCTAGGGTTTTTATGGTTTTAGGTGCTACATTTAAGTCTTTATTCCACTTCGAGTTGATTCTTTATATGGTGTTAGGAAGGGGTCCAGTTTCAATCTTCTGCATATGGCTAGCCAGTTATCTAGTACCACGTATTAACTAGTGAGTCCTTTTCCTGATTGCTTATTTTTGTTGGCTTTGTTGAACATCAGATAGTTGTAGGTGTAAGGCTTTATTTCTAGGTTCTCTATTCTGTTCTACTGGTGTATGCATCTTTTACTGTACCAGGGTCATGCTGTTTTGGTTATTGTAGCCTTATGGTATAATTTGAAGTTGGGTAATATGGTGACTCCAGCTTTGTTCTTTTTGCATAGGATTGCCTTGGCTATTCAGGCTCTTTTTTTGTTCCATATGAATTTTAAAATGTTTTTTTTTCTGATTCTGTAAAGTAAGTAATTGTTAGTTTGATAGGAATACCATTGAATCTGTAAATTGCTTTGGGCAGTATGACTATTTTAACAATGTTAATTCTCCCTATCCATGAACATGGGATGTTTTTCCATTTGTTTGTGTCCTATCTGATTTCTTTAAGCAGTGTTTCATAATTCTCATTATAGTGATATTTTACTTTCCTGGTTTGCTATATTGCTTGGTATTTTACTCTTTTTGTGTCTATTGTGAAAGGAATTGTGTTGATTTGGCTTTCAGCTTGGATGTTGCTGTTGTACAGGCATGGTACTGATTACTGTACATTCATTCTGTATCCCAAAACTTTTCTGAAGTTTTTTATCAGATCAAGGCACTTTTGCCCAGAAACTATGAGGTTTCTAGGTACACAAGTATATTGTCTGTGAACAAGAATTGTTTGGCTTCCTGTCGTCATATTTGAATGCCTTTTATTTATTTATGTGGCCTAATTGCTGTGGCTAAGACCTCCAGTACTATGTTGAATAGGAGGGGTGAGAGATGGCATCCTTGTCTTTCTGTTTCTCAAGGGTAATGCTTCCAGCATGTGCCCATTCAGTGTAGTGTTGGCTGTAGTTTTTTTTATAGATGGCTCTTATTATTTTTAAGTATATTTCTTTAATGTCTAGTTTGTTGATGGTTTTTAACATGAAGGAATGTTGAGTTTTATCAAAAGCCTTTTCTGCATATATTGATATGATTATGTGGTTTTTGTTCTTAGCTCTGTTAATGTGATGAATCACATTTATTTATTTGAATATGTTGAAACAATCTTGCATACTTGGGATAAAGCCTACTTGACCAGAATGGATTAGCTTTTTGATGTTCTGCTGGATTAGGTTTGCTACCATTTTGTTGAAGATATTTGCATCCACATTCATCAAGCATATTGATCTAAATTTTTTTTTAATTGTGTGTCTACTAGGTTTTGGTATCAGGATGATGCTGGCCTCATAGAATGAGTTAGGAAGGAGTCCCTCCTTCTCAATTTTCTGAAATAGTTTTAGCAGAAATGGTACCAGCTCTTCTTTGTACATCTCATAGAATTTGGCTGTGAACCCATCTGGTCTCGGGCTGTTTCTGGATATTCTGCTTTTTATTACTGAATCAGTTTTAGAACTCATTATTGACCTGTTCAGGAATTGAATATCTTCCTGGTTCTATCTTGTGAGGTTGTACATTTCCAGGAATTTATCCATTTTTTTCCAGATTTTCTAGTTTCCATGCATAGAGATGTTCATAGTACTCTCTGATTTTTTTTTTTTTTCTGTGTGGTCAGTGGTAATGTCCCCTTTTCTCATTTCTGAATTTGTTTATTTAGATCTTTTTGTTCTTGTTAGTCTAGATAGCAGTCTATTTTATTCATTATATAAAACTATCTTGCATTCATTTATGTTTTGTGTGGTTTTCACCTCTTAATTTCTTTCAGTTCAGCTCTGATTACGGTTATTTATTTTATTCTGCTAGCTTTGGGGTTGGTTTGCTGTTGTTTCTCTGGTTCCTTTAGGTGTAATGTTAGGTTGTTAATTCGTTATATTTTTAACTTTTTTATGTGAACATTTAGTGCTAGAAACTTCCCTCTTACTGCTTTGACTGTGTCTCAGAGATCCTGTTACGTTGTATCTTTGTTCTTATATGTTTAAAATAATTTCTTTATTTCTGCCTTAATTTTATTGTGTACCCAAAAGTCATTCAGGAGTAGGTTGTTTAATTTCCATAAAATTGTGCTGTTTTGGGTGATTTTCTTAGTATTGTTTTCTATTTTTATTGTGCTATGGTCCAAGAGTACAGTTGGTATGACTTCAGTTATTATGAATTTGCTGTGGATTGTTTTATGGCAGATTGTGTGGATTATTTTAGAGTATGTGCCATGTGCAGCTGAGAATAATGTATATTCTGTTCTTGTGGTGACAAAATCCCTTAGCATTTGCTTGTCTGAAAAGGACCTTATTTCTCCTTTGGTTATGAAGCTTAGTTTTGCTGGATATGAAATTGTGAGAATTTTCTTTTTAGGAATGTCGAATATAGGTACACGAGCTCTTCTGGCTTCTAGAGTTTCTGTGGAAAGGCCTGCTGTTAGTCTAATGCAGTTCCCTTGGTAGGTGACTTTCCCCTTCTCTAGCTGACTTTAACATTTTTTCTTTCATTTCAACCTTGGAAAATCTCATGACTATGAGTATTGCATACAGTCTTCTTGAGTAGTACCTCACAGGGATTTTCTGCTTTTCCTGTAGTTGAATGTTGGCATCTCTAATGAGGTTGGAGAATATATCATGCACAATATCCTCAAATATGTTTTCCAAGTTGCTTGTTTCCTCTCCTCTTTCAGGGACACCTATGAGTTTGTAGATTTGGTCTCCTTTCGTAATCTCATGTTTCTGGAAGGCTTTGTTATTCTTCTATATTGTTTTTTCTTTATTTTTGTCTGAGTGAGTTACTTTGGAGATCTGGTTTTTAAGCTCTGAGATTTTTTTTCCTCAGCTTCATCAATTCTTCTGTTAGCATTTGAGATTTTATTTTGAAACTCTTTAACTGAGTTTTTCAGCTCTGTCATATCAGTTTGGTTCCTACAAAATGGCAATTTCCTTTTTCATCTCTTGTATTATTTAATTATATTCCTTAGAATCCTTGGATTGGTTTTCAACTTTTTCCTGTGTCTCAATGATCTTCATTCCCATCTGTTTTCTGATTTCTATTTCTGTCAGTTCAGCCATTTCAGTCTGGTTAAGAACCATTGCTGGGAAACTAGTGTGATCATTTGGAGGTAAGAAGACGCTGGCTTTTTGAGTTGCCAGAGTTCTTGCACTGGTTCTTTCTCATCTGTGTGGGTTATGGTCCTTCAATCTTTGAATGTACTGTCCTTCCAATTAGTTTATTTGCTTTTATCTTCTTTGTTGCCCCTGGGGGTTTGATTGTGGAATAAAATGAGTTCAGTTGAATGGTTTTGTTTCTGGAAGATTTTAGGGGACCAAAGCTCAGTTCAGCACTCCTGGGCTACCACTGGAAGACTTGTATGGGACAACTCACTAGCTATGTTCTCCAGCACTTCGAAATTAGGAACCTACTGTACTGGAAGTACCAAAGAGTTCCTGGACTTCTGGCTAAAATACTCCAATAAGTGGTGTCAGAAAAAGTGCTTCACTGGGGCAGTGGCAGTGGGGTCCAGGCTCATTTGCCCATGACAGCAGCAGTGGCAGTGCAGTGGCTTGCATGCTTGTTGAATGGGGCAGGGCTCTGGCATGCATGGGGATTCCATCCTCCATGTCTGTGTTCATAGCAGCAGCAGTGGCAGTGTGAACCAGAGTGAAGAGGATGGGGCAACTGGTGTCCATGTGCATGTTCACTCTGGCAGCCATGTTGGTGCAGATGCAGGACACTGGCAGAGTTCAAGGCTGCCAGCCTCCATGCACATGTTCACACCAGCAGCGGCAGTGGCAGCATGGGGTGGAGATGGGGGATGAGGACATTTGCCTCTGTGCCTGAGTTTGCTCCTCCAATGGCAGAAGGGTTGCGGGGGTGTGCTCATTTTGGCAGCAGTGGCATAATGGGGTGCATGCACACACGTACACCAGTGGGGAGAGGAGGCAAGGTCCACCCATGAGTGCACTGGAGACAGCAAAGTGATGGGGCAGTAGCTATCAGCAAATGCATGCTCGCAAATTTGCTTGGGGGAGGATCTTACGGGAGGTGGTGCAGGTGGGGATGCTGTGTGTTGGTTAGGGCTGCTCTGCTGGAGCTCTGCAACAGTCAGGTGGAGTTTTCCAGTGAAAGAGCTATAATGCAGGCTCCCGGTAGGCACCCTGGTTGGGCATCCAAGGCTGTACTGCAAGCAAGTGCAGCCTGGCTGGTGCCCTGGGAGAAGCCAGAAGACAAGGGATTGATTATATCTGACTGGGCCCATTTCACAGGCGAGACTCCCCCTGCTCTGATCAGGTCCAATAGTTCCCCCATGACTAAATTCTCCTAGGGAAGCTTGTTGAGCATTGAGGGGATGGGCATCCCTGGCCTTGCTCCATTGCAGACATTCCTGTACCAAACTGTTTGGGCTCTGAATAGCCTGGAATCCTGCCCCTGACACCTTTCTAAGAAGCTCTCCCTGGCATCTCAAGTGTCTGTAGGGGTTGTGGGTATCCTGCTGCCAGGATTCCAGAGGTCCCTGGTGAGAGGGGGTTACTTCACACCTCCTCAACTCATCCCTTCCCCAGGATTTGTCGGGGGCCAGTAATGAGTCCCAGTGTATGGAAGCCTCCTTTAGGGGTCCCAGCTACCTCCCTCTTCATCCCAGCAAGTGGGCCCTATTTCCATCCACTCTCAGTGCCTTCTCTCTGAAGATCTGCTCATAGTGTACCAGTCTTTTGGATGTCCCAGTCCCTCAGTGACAGATGTTCCTCCTGGCTGTGTGTAGTCTGCCATCTTGGCCCCTACAAAAAACTGAACTTTACTTTCCTATTTTACATGTTTATCACAGTCTTGACTTTTGTTCATTCTCAATGATAAAAAAATTAAAACGAAATGTTATGCCACTGAAAATTTGTCCAATTTGAATATATTTCATCAAAAGTATAAAAAAGTACATATATATTTTAATAGCTTTTAATATTAAAACTTTAATATTTATAAAGAATATTTGTGTATTTTCAATATTTAGATTTTACAGAAGAAAACATATGTAACTTCTAGGCTAGTATTTACAGAAGGAAATGTATTACTAAGAGCAATTCTTAAGATGTAAATAGAATGGATTCTCTTAAAGTGTACTTTAATGTGACATAAAGATTGATATTAAGAGTTTTAAAATGCGTAATACATAATTTCAAAAATTAAAAAGCAGACATGGTAATGTCATTATTTACCAATGCCAAGGGCCTTCACAGCAATTTCATTTAGTGCTCAAATCTTTGTAATACAGTAATTATTATCCTCACAGATGAACAGATTCAGGTTCAGAGAGTTTAAGTGACCTGAACTAAGACAAATAATTTTATTCCAAAGTTTTAACTTCTATTTTAAATATATCTTCATGTTCCATTTTATTAGTCTATTGTTTCTCTTCTATTCTTGTTATATTCTCAGCCATTCAGAGTTATAGTTTAATCTTTCCCATTAATTTACGCCTTTAAACTAGATAATGAATCATTCCACTTCTTTATCAGGGTTCAACAGAATGTACCACACATAATACTATTTATAATATTATTTCTAATCACATACTGCGTGTGGAGAACATATTACTCATTGTTTTGTGCCCCCATAGGTTAGATATTCTGCTGTAACTTTTATTTATTATTCAATCAGGAGAAAAGCAGCTAAATTTTATATACAATTCAGTGATCCTCAAACATATTGTGAAAGCTAAAATGTAAAAGGACTAATATTAAATTCCTGATAACTAAAAAATCAGCATAGTATATATAAGCCTTTGGGGACATGAAATAAAGGAACATGTTTAAAACGTGAGGAAATGAGTTGTATCCTACACATAATAATGACAGAGGTTTTTCCCATTGCATTTGAATATAAAGTTTTGCTTTCTAGATGTTTTAAAGGTTTTCAGCAGCTGATTTAACTATCCTTGAGAGAAAAACTAATGCTCTAACTCTATCAGACTTTTTTAGCCTCATACTGACTCTGCTTCTTAATGTGTGGTCTTAAATTTGCTAAATCAATTGATTAAGCTTAAAGAAAATTTAATTTAAAATGAGAGAGAGCAAAATTAGCACTGGTGAAGGCCTGCTGACTTACTGGCCCAGCATATTTAAGTACACTGACTTATGTGGTTAGAGTTGAATATTGGCCAAATGAAATTTTATGAACTCAAGAAAATTACAGCCACTAACTCTAAGGGTATTATATTCACTAAATGTAGTCTTTAGATCAATGGCACCCTTGTGTCCAGTAAATGGACCAGACTGTTTAAATATTGGCTCATATCCTTTATCATGTGTGACTGGATTATGATACTAATTTCCTCAGTAAAGACTTCTCAATATAAATTTAAGTAATTTCTAACTAGGTTTAATATCCACAATATATATTTTTTAAATCCTTGAGTGTATATAGCACCGTTCAAATGAAAAGTTTTTGGTACTTCTCAGGCATTATTTCATTTACTTTCACAATTTCCCGCTGGACAATGTCATTTGCACTGAATTGAGGATGGGGCACCAATATTTGCTGTTTCTGCTCCTGCTTCTCTACATCTAAGTCGATTAGAGAGTAAGATCACATGAAATTGGGAAGTAAGATTGTTTTGTTAATTAATTTCTGCTTACATTGCATGGATTTATACTGATAAGAAATATGTATGAGACAAGGTGCTGTGTATTGTGGTAGATATCAAAGTTGGACACAAATAAAAACATAAAAAACGCAGATAGTGTGTTACAGAATATGCTATGGCAAAATTCACAAGTGAATTCAGGTAGCGAGTCAGCAAGCTCTAACAGAAGACATTGGTTTGAACCTGGAATCTACAATTAGTAACTGTGTGAACTTGAGTGCATTTTTAACCATTTACTTCCTTGATTCTTAGACTTAAGTTATGTAGAAGAGGAAAAACAATGCCTCGCTAAGTGACTTGCATGAATATTGAAATAGATAGTATGTGGAAATATTTAACACAGTGCCTGGCACAGAGAAGGGACCTAATAAATGTAGATGAATCTGACGTTTTCTAGTAGATGAAATCAGCATATAGATAGATATAGCTTTAAGGATAAGTAAAATTTCACCAGAGGGAGTTGAGAGAATATTATTCTAGGGAGAAAGAAAAGCATGTGGAGTAGTGTAGAAGTATAAAAACACAGAACACTTCTAGGAATTTTTTTTTTTTTTCAATAGAGGCTAGAGAGAGTTAAGTTGGATAGTTAGGCTGAGGTTAGATCATGGGATTTGGACCTTCCATATTACTTAGAGGAAAGCTACTGAACATATTTGAACATGGAAGAATTATAATGAGAATGGGATTGGTTGATAGGAAGGGTTGAACAAAGCAAGACTGATTATTAAGCTAATATAATAAGTAGTTCAATTATGAATGCTTAAGGCCTGAAAGAGGAAGTTGGAAATGTAAGAATAAATATTGATCAAAATTAAAGATAACAATTACTGGTAATTTTTACATAGATTTAAGGCCCAGTCCCTTACCTTAAAAAAGCACACTAGGATCTGGCCCTGCCTATCTTACTAGGCGTATTTATCCCCTGCCCCTCCACTGTTCCTCTCTGCAGGTTTCAAGCAGAACAATTTCTTTCCGGCAGCTTAAATATGCTGTCCTCATCCACATGGTCTCCTTTCATTCTGAAATAGTTTTCATCTCCTTACCCAACTGAAAGTTTTTATTTGTTTCTCAAATTTTAGTTCAGGCATTGGATTCTTTTAAGGTCTTCCCTACCATCCCAGATTAGAATTTGATTTTCCTCTTTGCTACATCTTGCCCTTCTCTATAACTTTTTAATACTTATTATATTGCATTTGCCATATTCTGTGTGATATTGCCATTGCCACACTCCTTTTAAATTTTTTTTCAAACACCTGGTTTCAAGCAATTCTCCTGCCTTGGCTTTCCAAAGCGCTTGGATTACAGGCATGAGTCACTGCACCCAACCGTCCTTTTTACTTTTTAAATCATGATAACTAATAATAATGATTACTAATCATTTACTACGTACCAATACATTGTTATAAGCACTTTAAATGTATTGGTTCATATAATCTTAATCTTAAACAAACCTTTGATTTCATAATAATTGTTATCTCCATTTAATAGTTAACTAAAAAAAAAAAACCTCAAGCAAAGGGAGAATAAGTATCTAGCCCAATGTTTTACATATAGAAAACAGTGGAGCCCAAGTATTCAAGCTCAAATACTCTGGATCCAGAGCCTTTTCTGTTAACTATAAAATGCTGCCTCTCTTAGATAAAACTATAAAACATAAAGGATATAAAGAAATTGACCAAAGTCATGCCTTGGTTAATAATTATAGTTAGAAAGCAGAAGAATTAGGCATCAAATGTGAAACAATTGTGAAGTGGAAGGAGAACATGGCTAGTGCAGTGTTGTGCAACCGAATGAAATGTTTTTAAAATAATCAGTATTTGAAAAAGACTAACAGGACAAGAGAAATAGTTGTTAATAGATAAAGTAGATCCTGAAAGAAGTGAAGACAGAGAGGAACAAGAGAACATAATTAATTCTCACAATGTATAAGTCCAATTATTCCTCAGAAACAGAAAAGAGCATATTGAAGGAAAATGCATGGAAATGTTGTAATGGAAGTGTGCCCAAAACACTGATGCGCAAACATATTATTGTCTCAGAAAAGTTGTAGAAGGATTATGTGCTAAAAGTGATGAAGACAGGTCAGATTGGGAATTTAAGAAAAAAAGAAATGGCTTGGGAACATTTCCGTGGGGAATGAAAACAAAGGCCATAAGGCTTGTAATGTGCTGTACGAGTCATGAAAAATTGACTGAAAATCTTACAGATAGAGAGATGGTGAATAGTACGAAAATCTAAGTTCTAGCTCTGTAGTGTCAGAAGTGAAAGATAAAGTAATAGGAAATAATACTTTTTAAAATTAATTAAATGGTAAAAATGTTATCGGGTTTATGAGCATGACCTGTTTTAGTCCCCAGAGATAATAACATAGGAAGAAGTAAAAGGAAGATTCTGAAGAGTCCTTGAGTCATTGAAAAAAATGAAAGACTACACAGGAGATTGTTGAGTTATGGTAGCAAAATAAAGAGAAGATACCATAGCTGTATTGTTTAGACTCTAAAGTACTTAGGCTCTGGGCACAAGGTGCATAAGGTGAACCTGAAATACCTTGTCATTCCAGAAACCATAGAAATGATCAAAAACCACTAGAGTTATGTTAGAAAAGGTCTTAAGAGCCAACCTGGATAAATTCCCACTGGAAAAATATGAGAAGTTCTCTTAACTACCAAAAAGAGTAATAATTGAAAGCGATTTAAGTATGTCAAATATTGTCAAGACTATTAGCTCATAATATATTTTTTAAAAGCCTCATTGTTCACTTGTGAAGGATTTTAGGCAACACCTCATTATTTTGAAATCCTGCACTGCAATTAAGACAAAGAAGCAATTACTCTGCTTTTTCTATGCACTCAGTGCCTCAGTATTACCAAGTACTAGTTGAGAAAAAGCGAGTGTTTTGTTCACATAATGTCCCTGTTGTGTAGCTGTGCTTGCCCTATACAAATAGCTAAATATAATGTCTCTGTGTGTGTGTGTGTGTGTGTGTGTGTGTGTGAAATAGTCAAACTTGTCAGCCAAATCTAATAATGACAAGAAATACAAGGCAGAGAGAAACACATGAGGCAGTATTATAAGGAGGCTAACTTTAGACATTGGAAAACCCAATAAAAACAACTGGGTTACTTCAGTAAAACAAGAGAAAAAGAGAGAGGGATAGAGGGAGGAGGGAGTGAGAAAAGAGAGATGGAGAGAGAAGGTAAATATTTGAAGTCTTGGAATATACATCAACAATCAAATTGATTGATCTGATTTGGCTATAAACTAAAAAATCATTTTAAAATATAACAAAATAAGATAAATAAGAACCTTGATTGGATATTTGTTAATATTTAGAAGTTATTTTTAGTGTTTCAAGTATAATAATAGGATATTTTATGTTTTTAAAAAACACTTGTATTTTAGAGAAACATACAGAAATAATTACAGATAAAATAATATAGAAGAAAGTGCCAAGATGGTTGACTAGAAGCAGCTAGTGTGTACCACTGTCACAGAGAGGAGATAGAGTGGTGCATAAATACTAGCTCTAGTGTTCAAGTGGATTGTCCAGGAGGCCATGTTGTGATTCCTGAAGGAAGCAATGGTGACCCACGGAGGACAGAGAGGAGTGAGGCTGCCCACCTGAGATTGGCATGGAGCATGGGGAGGCTCCCTATTGTGGGGAATGGGTGAGTGAGCAAGAGGCCCAAGGGACACACACTTCTGCTATAAACCTTTGTAATCTTAGGCATAAGAGATCCTAACTGACCCCCTGGACCCCCAGACAAACATGGAGAGACAGCTGCATGGAAACTGGGCAGAGCCACTTCTCAGGCCCTCATGGAGCCCCATAGGACTTGGATCCCTAAGCACCCTGGTGCAAGTTTTTGTAGCCCTGGCAGTTAGGGAGGCCAGGCTCTCTTTCACAAACCCAGCATGCCTAGACAAATGCATAATAACAGTGGGACATTTCAACATTTCACCAACAGCATTAGAGACATCTTTGAGGTAAAAACTAACAAAGAAGTTCTGGACTTAAATTTAAGACTTGAACAATTGGACAAAATAGACATCTACAGAACACACCACCCACCAACAACAGAATATATATTCTACTCATCTTCACATGGAATGTATTATAGGATCAATCACATGTTCAATCTCAGTAAATTGAAAAAATTAAAATCATACCTAGCACACTCAAATCACAGTGCAATAAAAAGAAAAATAAATATCAAGATGATATCTTAAAATGACAAAAAGTCATGGAAATTAAACAACTTCGTCCTGAATAACTAATGAGTGAACATTTAAATTAAAGCAGAAATACAAAATATTTGAAATTAATCAAAATGTGAACACAATCTACCAACACCTCTGGGATGCAGCTAAGGCAGTGTTAAGAGGAAAATTTATAGCACTAAATGCCTTCATCAGGATGCTAGAAAGCTCTCAAATTAATGTTTTAACTTTGTACCTAAAGTAACTAGAGGAAAAAAAAAACACACAAAAACCAATACCAAAGCAAGAAGAAAAAAATGAATAATTAAAATAAGAACTGAATTAAATTGAGATGCAAGCATTCATGCAAATGATTAATGAAACCAAGTGTAGATTTAAAAAAATAAACAAGATTGATAAACTTCCAGCTAGATTAACAAATAAAATAGAGAGAAGATCCAAATAAGTATAATCAGAAATGATAAGGATGACACTACCATTGATCCCATATAGTTGAAAAAGATCTTCATAGAATGCTATTTAACAACACTATGCACACAAATTAGAAAATCTAGAAGAAATTGATAAATTTCTAGAACACACATTTTCACAAAATTGAATCGGAAGATTTAAAACCTGCATAGACCAAAATTGAATCCTGAAATTAAATCATCAATAAAAATCCTGGCAACCAAAAGAAGTCCTGGGCCAGACAAATTCATAGCTGAGTTCTACGAGACATAAAAGAACTGGTACCAATCCTAATGAAACTATTACAAAAAAATCGAGGTGGAGAGGCTCCTCCCTATCTGATTCTATGAAGCCAGCATTAGCTTAATACCCAAATCTGGCAGAGACACAATGAAAAAAAAAAAAAAAAAAACTTGAGGCCAGTATCTCTGATGAACACAGATAAAAAAGTCCATAACAAAATACTAGCAAACCAAATTCAGCAGCACATCAAAATGTTAATACATCACAACCAATAAGGCTTTCTTTGTGGAATGCAAGATTGTTTTGACATATGGAAATTATTAACTGATTCACCACCTCAACAGAATTAAAAACAAAATCATATGTTCTCTCAATAGAAGAAGTGAAAACTTTCAATAATGTCCATTATCCCTTCATGATAAAAAGACCCAACAAACTAGGCAACAAAAGAACATACTTCAAAATAATAAGAGCCATATATGGCAAGCCAATATCATACTGAAGGGCAAAAGCTGAAGCAATCTACCTTAAGAACTGCAACAAGACAAGGATGCCCACTCTCACCACTCCTACACTCCCACCACTCCTACTTTAACATTGTACTGGAAGCCCTAGCCAGAGCAATCAGGCAAGAGAAAGAATTAAAAGACATCCAAATTGGAAAAAAAAAAGAAGACAAATTATCTCTCTTTGTTGGAGATAAGATTCTGTAACTAGAAAAGCCTAATGACCCCACCAAAAGGCTACTAGAACTGTTACATGACTTTAGTAGGTTTTACTATACAAAATCAATGTACAAAAATCAGTAGTATATTTATACACTAATAATGTCCAGGTTGAGAGTTAAATCAAGAGCACAATACCATTTATACTAGGCAGAAATAAAATGAAATACCTAGCAGTACACATAATCAAAAAGCTTAAAGATCTTTACAAGAAGCACAAACATGTTGAAAGAAATCAGATATGACACAAAAAGATAGAAAAATATCCCGTGCTTATGGATTAAAATGGCTATATGGCCCAAAGCAATTTACAGATTCAACACTATTCCTATCAAACTACAAAAGTCATTCATCACAGAATTAGGAAAAGCTATTCAAAAACTCATATGGAACCAAAAAAAGAGCCTGAATAAACAAAGCAATCCTAAGCAAAAGAACGAAGCTAGAGGGATCATATTACCTGACTTCAAACCATAGTATATAAGGCTATAGTAGCCAAAATAGCCTGGTATTGGTATAAAAACAGAAACATAGACAAATGGAACAGAATATAAAACCCAGACATAAAGCCTTACACACGCAACCATTTGATATTTGACAAGCCAAGAAACACAAGCAATGGGAAAAGGACTCCCTATTCAATAAATGGTGTTGTGACAAGTGGCTATACAGAAGAATGAAACTGAACCCTTACCTTTTACAATATACAAAAATTAACTCAGGTAGGATTAAAGATTCAAATGAAAAATATCAAAATATAAAAATTCAAAAAAAACCTAGGAAATGCCCTTCTCAATATCAGCCTTGGCAAAGAATTTTTGCCTATGTCTTCAAAAGAAACTACAGCAAAAAATATTGACAAGTGGGACCTAATTAAACTAAATAGCTCCTGCACAGCAAAATAAATTATCAACAAAGCAAACAGCCAACCTGCAGAATAGAAGAAAATATTCACAAACTATGCATCTGACGAAAGACTAATATCAAGAATCTATACAAAATTTAAACAAATTAACAAGCAAAAAAAACACCATTAAATGGGCAAAGGATATGAACAGACATTTCTCAAAAAAGACATAAACAGCCAACAAACATATAAAAATGTTCCACATAACTGATCATTAGAGAAATGCAAATCAAATCCACAACGATATACCATCTCACACCACTCCAAATGGCTATTTTTGAGAAATTAAAATAACAAGTAAGATCCTCGAGAGGCTGAAGAGAAAAAGGAAACACTTATGCACTGTTGGTGAGAGTGTATAAATTAGTTAAATCATTGGGAAATCAGTGTGGCGATTCCTCAAAGAACTTGAAGCAGAGCTCCTGTTTGACCCAGCAATCCCATTACTGGATATGTACTCAAAGGAAAATAGATAATTATATCAAAAGTCACATGCATACATGTGTTAATTGCTTTGCTATTCACAATACCAAAGAACGGAATCAATCTAGATGTCCATTAATGGTGGATGATAAAGAAAATGTGGTATATATACACCATGGAATACTGCATAGCCATATAAAAGAATAAAATCATGTCATTTGCAGCAATATGAATAGAGCTGGAGGTTAAAGCCAATGAACACAGGAAGAGAAAACTAAATCCTGCATGTTCACACTTACAAATGGGAGCCAAACATTGAGCAGCCAGAGACATAAACATGGGAACAATAGACACTGCTAACTAGTAGTCTGGGGAGGGAGGGGCATATGGTTTAAAAAAAACTACCTATTGGATACTATGCTCACTACTTGGGTGCAAATACCCATGCAACAAATCTGCACAGGTACTCCCTATACCTAAAATAAAAGTTGAGAAAAAATATTTTATAAACTCTGATCACAAAAATTATAAAAAATAAATAATATGGTGTCTCTAAAATAATCTGGCAAAGGGTAGGGAAAACTTGCCAAGGTTAAATGACTCACCTGAAGTCACACAGCCAGTGTAAGCCAGAAAATTTAACCCAGGGAGACAAAGAATAAGGAGATCTCTGTGTAATTTCAAGATTAGGCAATGAGAGGACAGAGAAATTGGCCTGCCTGTATCATCAGAGCTTAACTAGACAACTAGACAAATACATACTGAATATTTGAATAAAATTTTTCATGTCAACCTAGCTTCCAGGTTAAACACTGAGAAAGATATTCTAGCAATGTAATCAAATAATAGAGACCTCAATAAATAAACTATTTGCTTCTTAAATATATTAAATATATTTTCCTTTATTCAAGTATGAGTCAACATTTTGAAAAACAACAATATATAATCCATAAAAAGATCCCATAACATTAATAAAAGAATCACCTCTTAAGAGAAAATAAGAATTATCAAAATTATTTACAAAAGAAAATTAAAAAATGGACTACATGTTCTGGTCTCTAGTAAATACATGAAATTACTTATACTGTGAAAAATGTGACAAATGAGAAGGAAAAGAAATGTATACAGGGAGGCTGTGTAGAAACTAAAACCTGTAACAAAACTAAAATTCACAAGATAAACAGTTGAGGAAAACCAACATTTAGAAAATCAAAATGATTATGATGCCGAGGCATTTAGTGCAAACTAAAGACACTTTCTCATAATGCAGAGAAAATGACTGAAAATTATGAGAGAAAATATGACAAAAACAATAGATCCAGTCTACAACTAGTTAGTGTCCCCGAGGGAAATAAGTCAAATCAATATAGCAGAAACAAAAATAGAGTATAATCCAATACATTTTTTTAACAATTGCAAAAGGTGTAAGCCAAAATGATAAAAAAAAATACAGCCAATAAAATAATACTTGCATAAATTGGGTAACAAAAAAAATTCCAACAAAAATTATGTGAAAACTTCAAGCCATAATATCACAAAATTAGCATACTAATTTAGGACAGAATAATAATTGCTTAATTTTGTAAAGCCTAATAAAATGTGAATTACAAGTCAAATGGTAAATTGATATGATTCAATGTTTATAATCACATAGACATTTCGAAGTCATTTGCTTATAAAAGTCATGAGATCATTTGTAAGTGAAATGAGACAAACAGGAATTTGCCTCCTTACCTATATGTGTCCTCGAAATAGTCATTAATTGCTATTTCTTTAAGCAAAAGAACTCTGCAATTATAAGTTGGTTTCTAAGATTTTTAAAATTTTGTTTTTATTGACAAATAATTGTATATATTTATGGGGTACAATGCATTTTTTGCATAATAGATCAACATCAGTGCAATGTTTTGATATGTGTATGATTCTTGAGATTTTAAATAAATTATACAGCTAGATCAGAAAGTTGTCTCCTCATTTTTGCAAGATAAAAGCTCAATTCAACCTTGAGTAACTGAAGAACAATGCTGAGATGAAAGTTTCTTAAAAGATGTCTTTCCCTGAAGCAATCAATAATGAATGTTGTAAGAGTCTTTCTCTAGGTTTCATGTTTTTAATGTTTTAATTTTTAATTTTTGTGGGAACACAGTAGATGTATATAATTGTGAAGTACATGAGATGTTTTCATGCAAGTATGCAAGGCATAAGATTCACATCATGGAGAATAAGCTATCCATTTACGCAAGCATTTATCCTTTCTGTTACAAATAATCCAATTATACTATTTTACTTATTTTAAAATGTACAATTAACTTATTATTGACTAAAGTCACTCTGTTGTGCGACCAAATAATCTCTCTTATTCATTCTAACTATACTTTTTGGATCCATTAACTGTCTCCACCTCCCCCACAGCCCCCCACTACCCTCTCCAGACTCTGATAACCATTCTTCTACTCTCTGTGTCCATTTCTATTATTTTGATTTTTAGATCCCACAAGCAAGTGAGAACATGCAATGTTTATCTTTCTGTGCCTGGCTTATTTCACTTAACATAATTATCTCCATTTGCATCCACATTGGTGCAAATAACAGAATCTCATTATTTTTTATAGCTGAATAGTACTCCACTGGGCTCCACCGTGTATATATACCACATTGTCTTTATCTATTCATCTGCCAATGGACATTTAGGTTGCTTCCAAGTCATAGCTATTGTGAACAGTGCTGCAACAACCATGGGAGTTCAGATAAGTCTCTGATATACTGTCTTTCTTTTGGGTATACACCCAGCAGTGGGATTGCTGGGTCATATAATATCTCTGTTTTTAGTTTTTTCCTTCAAACTGTTCTCCATAGTGATTGTACTAATTTACATTCCCACCAACAGTGTAGGAGGCTTCCCTTATCGCCACATCCTTGCCAGCATGTATTATTGCCTGTCTTTTGGATATTAGCCATTTTAACTAGGGTGAGATGATATCTCATTGTAGTTTTGATTTGCATTTATCTGATGATCAATAATGTTGAGTAACTTTTCATATGCCTATTTTTCTTTGGTAGGTATGTTTCTGTTGAGAAATATTTATACAAATATTTTACCTATTCTTTTTGTTGATGTTGTTGTTGTTGTTGAGACGGAGTCTCGCTCTAATGCTGAGGCTGGAGTGCAGTGGCGTGATCTTGGCTCACTGCAACCTCTGCCTCCTGGCTTCAAGCGATTCCACTGCCTCAGACTCGTGAGTAGCTGGTATTACAGGCGCCCACCACCACACCTGACTATGTCATTTTTCTTACTATAGCTCTGTGGTATAATTTGAAGTGAGGTAATGTGATTCTTCCAGTTTTGTTCTGTTGATTAGAATAGCTTTAGCTATTCTGGGTCTTTTGTGGTTCCATATACATTTTGGGATAGTTTCTTTCTATTTCTGTGAAGAATTTCACTGGTATTTGATAAGGATTTCTTTGATTCTGTAGATTTCTTTGGGTAGTATGGACATTTGAACAATATAGATTCTTCCACTCCATGAACATGGAATATTTTTTAGTATGCTTTTCAATTTCTTTTTTCAGTGATTTATAGTTGTTACTATAGACATAGTTTACTTTTTTGTTAATTCTTAGGTATTTAATTGTATTTGTGGCTATCATAAATGTGATTGCTTTTTTATTTCTTTTTCAGACTCTACTGTTTACAGAGAGAAATACTACTAATTTTTGTACGTTGATTTTTGTATCCTGCAAATTCACTGAATTTGTTTATCAATTTTAATAGTTTTTTGTGTAGTTTTTAGGTTTTTTAAAATATAAAATCATATCATTTGAAAACAATTTGACCTTTTCTATTCCGATTTATGTCCTTTATTTCCTTCTTTTGCCTGATTACTCTAGTTAGGACTTCCAGGACTATGCTGAATAACACTGGTGAAAGTGGGCATCCTTGTTGTGTTTTAAATCTTAGAGGAAAGGCTTTCAGTTTCTCCCCCATTCAGTTTGATACCACCTGTAGGTCTGTAATATATGGCTTTTATTATGTTGAGAAATGTTTCTTCTATACCCAGTTTTTGAGGGTTTTATTATGAAAGTATGTTGAATTTTATCAAATGCTTTTTCAGCATTAATTAAAAAATGATGATGTGTTTTTTAGTCTTTATTCTGTTGACACAGTGTATCACATTTTAGTCCCTGGAATAAATCCCAATAGGTAATGATGAATGATTTTTTAAATGTAAAGTTGAATTTCATTTGTTAGTATTTTGTTGAGGATTTTTTGCATCAATATGAATCAGCGATATTGGCCAATAGTTTTCTTTCTTTTTTTTCTTTTTTTAATATGTGTCTAGTTTTGGTATTAAGGCAGTACTGGCCTCATAGAATGAGTTTGGAAGTATTCCCTCCTCCTCTATTTTTTGGAATAGTTTGAGTAGGATTAGTATTAGTTTTTCTTTATATTTTGGTAGAATTCAGTAGTGAAACCATCAAGTCCAGGGCTTGTTTTTTACTGGGAAATTTTTATTATGCCTTCTATCACATTGCATTTTATTGGTCTGTTCAGCTTTCGGATTTCTTCCTAGTTTAATCTTGGTAGGTTGTACGTGTCCAGGAATGTGTCAATTTCTTTTAGCTTTTCCAAGTTTTTAGTAGATTGTTGCTCATAGTAGACAGTAGTGATTTTTTGTACAATTTCTGTACAATTTCTACAGTATCAGTTGTAATGTAACTTTTTTCATTTCTGATTTTATTCATTTGGATCTTCTCTTTTTTTCTTAGTTACTCTTGCTAATGGTTTGTCAATTTTGTTTAACTTTAAAAAAAACATACTTTTATTTTTGTGAGATGGAGTCTCACTCTGTCACCCAAGCTAGAGTGCAGTGGTGCAATCTTGCCTCACTGCAGCCTCTGCCTCCTGGGTTCAAGAGACTCTCCTGCCTCAGCCTCCCTAGTAGCTGGGATTACAGGCACCCACCACCATGTCCAGTTAATTTTTGTATTTTTAGTAGAGATGGGGTTTCACTATATTGGCCAGGCTGGTCTTGAATTCCTGACCTCAATTGATCTGCCTGCCTTGGCTTCCCAAGGTGCTAGGATTACAGGCATGAGCCACTGTGCCTGGACTAATCTTTTTGTTTTATTTATCTTTGGTATGTTTCTAAAATTTCAATTTCTTTTGTTTCTGCTCTCACCTTTCTCATTGCTTTTTCTTCTACTAATTTTGGGTTTGGCTTGCTCTTGCTTTTCTAGTTCTTTAGCTTGGATCATTGTATATCTGAAGTTTTCCCTCTTTTTTGGTGTTGGCATTTATAGCTATAAAATTTCCTCCTAGTACTGCTTCTCTTTTATCACATAGGTTTTGTTATATTTTGTTTTTATTATCATTTGTTTCCAGAAATTTTTTAATTTCCTTCTTAATTTTTTGTGGAGCCAATGGTCATTCAGTGGCATATTGTTTATTTTACATGTATTTGTATCACTTACAAAATTTCTTGTTATTAATTTCCATTGGTTTTATTCCATTGTGGTTAGAGTATATGCTTAATATTATTTATATTTTTGAATGATTTAAGACTTGTGACCTAATATATGGTTTAACATTGAGAATAATCCATGTTTTGAGGAAAGAATGTGTATTCCACAGTTGTTGAATGAAATGTTCTGTAACTATCTTTTAGAACCATGTGATCTACAGTGCATATTGTTTTATGTTTCTTTGTTGATTTTATGTTTGGAAAATGTGTTCAATGCTGAAGGTGAGCTGTTGAAGTCTTCAGCTATTATTGCATTGGGGTATATCACTGTCTTGTGTTTTAACATTATTTGCTTTATATATCTGGGTGCTCTACTGTTGGATGCATATATACTTAAAATTGTTATATCCCCTTGCTGAATTGACCTCTTTGCCATTATATAGTGACCTTCTTTGTCTCTTCTTGTAGTTTTTGTCTTGAAATCTGTTTTGTCTGATATAAATATAGCTAATTATGCTCGTATTTGGGTTTCATGGCATGGAATAGCTCCTTTTATCCCTTTATTTTCAGTCTGTGTGTCTTTAGAGGTAAAGCATGTTTCTTGTGGGCATCAGTTAATGGATTTTATTTTTTCATCGATTAAGCTAGTGTATGTCTTTTGATTGGAGAGTTTAGCCCATTTACATACAATGTTATTATTGATAAGTAAGGACTTAATCCTGCCATTTTCTTATTATTTTTCTAGTTGTTTTATATGCTCTTCTCTTTCTTCTCTTTCCTTCCTCTATTCCTCTAGTGAAGGTGATTTTTCTCTGGTGATATGATTTAGTTTCTTGCTTTTTCTGTGTTTCATAATCAATTGTATATTTTTATTTGAGTTTACCATGAGGCTTGCAAATACTATCTTATAACCCATTATTTTAACCTGATAACAACTTAACACTGTTTGTATAATGAAACAATAAGAAAAAAAGAAACTTAAGAAAAACTCTACACTTTAACTTTGTCCACCCACTTTTTAGTTTTTTTGTTGTTGTTTCTGTTTACATGTTATTATACTATGTCTTGAAAAGTTCTTGTAGTTATTATTTTGGATCACTTCATCATTTAGTCTTTCTACTTAGGATAAGAGTATTTTACACACCACAGTTACAGTGTTAATGATAGTCTGTATTTTTCTGTATACTTATTACTATCCGTGAGTATTGCATCGTCAGATAATTAGTTATTGTTCTTTAATATTCTTTTTTTTCTGATTGAAGTACTCCTTTCTGCATTTCTTGTATGAAAAGTCTGGGGTTGATGACATTAGCAGCTTTTGATTTTCTGGAAAAGTTGCTATTCCTCTTTTGGTTTTGAAGGATATTTTCCCTGGACATACTCTTCTAGGGTAAAAGTTGTTTTGTTTTGTTTTGTTTTTCTCTTCAGCCCTTTAAATATGTCAAACCAGTCTCTCTTGGCCTCTAAGGTTTCCACTGAAAAGTCTCCTGCCAGCCAGACATATTGGAGCTCCATTGCATGTTGTTTCTTTTATCTTGTTGCTTTTAGGATCATTTCTTTATCCTTTGTCTTTGGGAGTTTGATTATTAAATGCCTTGAGGTAGTCTTCTTGGGTTAAATCTGCTTGACGTTCTATAACCTTCTTGTGTTCAGATATTGATACTTTACATTTACAAAATTGTCTGTTCTTATTCCTTTGAATAAACTTTCTACCCCTATCTCTTTCTTTTCCCCTGTCTTTAAGGAAATAACTCTTAAGTTTGCCCTTTTGAGGTTGTTTTCTAGATCCTATAAGCATGTTTCATTGTTGTTTTATTACTTTTACTTTCATCTCGTGTGACCATGTATTTTCAAATAGCCTGTATTCAAGCTCATTTATTTTTTCTTCTATTAGCTCAGTTCTGTTATTAAAAGTCACCAAAGCAGCTACAGCTAAAATCATTTTCTGATTTTCTGATTTCATCTCTGATCATTTTCCAGTAGCTAATTGCCTTTTTAACGGAGGTATTGCTCCTCACAAGAAGGCATTAGCTGCTGGCATCTGCCCACAGACCCTGACCCAAATGACAGATGAATAAAACATACACTGACACACAGATACTCTGTTTTGCCAGTCCTGCTGCATGTCCGACCACCTGCGCACCAAGAAAGGATTGTCAATGTGGCTGGCCTTGAGCAGCTCGCACTCAGGGCATTTATTTAGTATACAATTAACAACAGACGCTCTGAGTCAACACACTTGTGGAGAATTAACATGGTTAAGAGAGTAGTTCTAGGAATGATTAAAGCTCTGGTACCTCTGTTGAAGGTAAATACCATTAGGGGGCAATATCCCTAGTCGACCTCCCCCGCCCCAGGGCCATTTGGCTCAAAGGTTAGTTAATGCAGGTAGGATAAATAGACATAACTGGGGAAGCCTCTATCGTCCCTAGTATTTACCCTATGACCTAATGCTCTAAGGTAAGAACCAGCTGCCTTCAGCCTATTCAATTATTACAAGATAGGTAACCTTTCAGCCTTTCCAAACATAAAATCAACAAAGAAACAAAAGGTTTGTGACTATTCCTGCAACTTTCCTTAATATTTCCCTTTAATATTTCTGCCACCATCCTGAGTGAATCCCAACATTTCACTGCAGAACCTCTGCTTGATTTTTTTAATTATTTCAATCTTTTTGTTAAATTTATCTTATAGAATTTTAAATTCCTTCTGTGTGTTATATTGAGTATTTTTGAGTTTTCTCAACATAGATATTTTGAATTCTCTGTCTGAAAGCTCACGTATTTGTGCCTTTTTCAGGATTTGTGTTTTTGCTGGTGTTTTATTTATTTGGTGAAATCGTGTTTTTCTGGATAGTGTTGATGCTAGTAGGTGTTCTTTGATGTCTTGGCATTGAAGAGTTTGGTATTTATTGTAATCTTCACTGTCTGGGCTTGTTTGTATCTGCCCTTCTTGGGAAAGCTTTCCAGATATTTGAAAGAATTTGCATATTGTGATTTTTTTTTTTTTTTTTTTTTTTGAGATGGAGTCTCACTCTGTCACCCAGGCTGGAGTGCAGTGGCACGATCTCGGCCCACTGCAAGCTCCACCTCCCAGGTTCACACCATTCTCCTACCACAGCCTCCCGAGTAGCTGGGACTACAGGCACCCGCCACCATACCCGGCTATTTTTTTTTCTTTTTTTTGTATGTTTAGGAGAGATGGGGTGTTCACCATGTTAGCTGGGTTGGTCTCGATCTCCTGACCTCGTGATCCACCCGCCTCGGCCTCCCAAAGTGCTAGGATTACAGGCGTGAGCCACTGCACCCAGCTGCATGTTGTGATTTTAGCTGTAGCTGCTTTGGTGAGCATTTCAAGTTCAGTAACACTGTGGTTCTTTCACATCCATAGAGGCACTATTTTAATGGTGTTTGACAAGATCCGGAAGAATTTTCTGGATTACTAGGCAGAGATCTGATTCTCTTACCTTGCTTTCTCCCAAATAAATGGAGTCTCTCTGTCTGTTCCGAAACACCATTGCTGGGGTTGGAGAGACACAAGCATTGCTGTGGCCACCATCACTGTGACTATGCTGGATCAGACCTGAAGTCAGCACAGCACTGGATCTTGCCCTAGTTCTGCTGTAACCACGACCTGGCTACTGCCTATGTTCGCTCAAGGCCCTGGTGCTCTACAATCACCAGGTGGCAAAGCCAGCCAGGCCATTCTCCTTCCCTTCATGGTGGCAAGTTCATTCATTCAGGCTCCAGGTGAATCCAGATGTGCTGCCTGGGAGTGAGGCACTAGAGTAAAAGATCTTAGAAGTCTTCCTGGTTTTCTGTTTTACTGTGGCTGAGCTGGCACCCAAGCCACAAGATGCAGTCCTTCGCAATCTTCCCTCCACTTTATAAAGGCAGAGGAGCCTCTCTCTGTAGCCACTGCCATCTCAGGCCACGGGGAGTTCCGCGAGATGCCACCAATATTCCCTTAAGGCCCAAAGGCCCTTCAGTCAGCTTTTGGTAAGTGCTGTCTGGCCTGGAACTCACCCTTTAGGGGAGTGGGCCTCTCTGTCTCAGGGCAGGTCCAGAGTTGCTGTCCAAGAGTCAAGTCCTGAAATTGTGGACCCCCAATAGCCCACTTGATGCTCTGGCACCCTATGTCCATGCTGGTACCTAAGATGCAAGACAAAGTCCCCTCTACTTTTCCCTCTTCTTTTCTCAAGCAAAAGAAGTTTTGCCACCAGAGCTGGTAATGTGTTGAGTCTCAACTGAAGCCAGCAAGTCTCAGGGGCTCGCCAAGGCCCTAGCTATAGTACCTGGGTATCATTGTTGGTTATTCAGGGCCTAGGGGCTCTTCAGTTAGTAGGTTATAAATGCTGGCAGGACTGGATCCTTTTCTTCTGGGACAGAAGTGGCTTCCCTTCTCTCCCAGAGTGTGTCTATAAGTGTCCTCTGGCCGCTAGGTCCTGGAAGAGAGGCCTCATTACTCTGACTGGTACCCTATCTTACTGTGCCTGCGCTGGGTAGCCAAGATGCAAGACAACATCCTCCCCATTCTTTCTTCTCCTCTCTTCAAGTGGAAAAAGAAATCTCTTTTGGAGCCCTGAACTCTTCTGCCTGGGGTCAGTGGAGGGGTGATGCCAGCACTCCCTTACCTTCCCCAAGCAGTGTCTTAGTAGGTCTCATGCCCTCTTCAGTCCACTCTCTCTGGGCCCAGTTTAGCCCTAGGTCTCATCTAACAGTTGCAGTCCCTATGGCCTAGATTCCCTTTTAAGTTGACTTAGAGACCAAGAGCACTTTGGACCACAGTGGAGAGACTTGTGGGAACTCAAGTTCCAACTGCTGGAATTGGTGATTCCCCTCTGGCTAGGGCTGCTTTAAATGCTCCCTACTTGGGCAGGCATTAGCTGAGTTTGGTCCAGCTTTCCTTTCTGCTCTAACAGGGCAGCACCAAGTTCAGTGATTCACAATTTCTGTGTTCTCCCTCTTCCAGCACCCAGAGAGACTCTGCATCAAGCTGCCACTGCTAGGTGGTGGGGTGAGGGTGACGTCAATAATTCAAGAGACTGTTTTTTCTATTTCTTCAGTGTCCCCTTCAGCAATACAGAGTTAAATCTCAGTATTATGAGGCCTCACCTGATTTTTGGTTCTTATGAATGTGTTTTTTATTTTCTGTGTAAACAATTTTTAAACCGATGTCCTTGTACAAGGGATGGTCTGTGGAGTCTTTTATTCTGCCATCTTGCTCCTAAGACTAAAATTCAGAATCCATACAATTAGTATATTTCTTTCTTTTCAGAAAGTACATACACTTCTGTTGTTTGTTTCTCCTGAAATTAGTTTTGACATCATTCTTTTTAAGTTGTTTTTATTTTTAATTTTTGTAGGTATGTATCAGGTGTATATATTTATATTTATGAGACATGTGAGATATTTTGGTACAGGCATGCAATGCATAATAGTTACACCATGGAGAATGGGGTATCCATCACGTGAAGCATTTATTTTTTGTGTTACAAACAATCCAATCAAAGTCTTTTAGTTGTTTTTAAATTTACAGTGAAAGTATTACTGACTACAATCATCCTGTTGTGTTATCAAATATGAGGTCTTATTCATTCTTTCTAATTATTGTTTTCTACACACTAACCATCTCCAAATTCTCCCTACCCCTCCACTACCCTTCCCAGCTTACTCTTCTGGTAAGCATCCTTCTAGTCTCTATTTCCATTAGTTCAATTGTTTAGATTTTTAGATCCCACAAACGAGAACATGCAGTGTTTGTATTTCTGTGCCTGGCATATTTCACTTAAGATAATGATCTTCAGTTCTATTCATATTGTTGCAATGACAATATCTCATTCTTTTTTATGGTTGAATAGTACTCCATTGTATGTAGGTACCACATTTTCCTCATCCATTCATCTGCTGGTGGACACTTAGGTTGCTTTCACATCTTGGCTATTGTGAGCAGAGCTGCAAAAAACATGGAATTGCAGATATGTTTTCAATATACTGATTTCCTTTTTTTGGGGGGGAGAAGGGGGTATATAACCAGCCGTAGGATTGCTGGATAATATGGTAGCTCTATTTTTAGTTTTTCGAGAAACCTTAAAATTGTTTCTTATAGTGGTTATACTAATTAACATTCGCGCCAACAGTGTACAAGTGTTTCCTTGTTTCCACATTCTTGCCAGCATTTATTATCGGTTGACTTATAGATAAAAGCCATTTTAACAGGGGTGAGATACTGTCTCTTTGTAATATTGATTTGCATTTCTGTGATGATAAATGATGGTGAGCACCTTTTTCATATGACTGTTTGCCATTTTGATGTCTTCTTTTGAGAAATGTATATCCAAATATTTTGCCCATTTTTATATTGGATTGTTAGATCTCTTCCTATGTAATTTTTTGACCTCCTTAAATATTCTTGTTATTAATCCTCTGTCAGAAGTGTAGTTTGCAGATGTTTTCTCTCATTCTGTGGGTTTTTTCATCACTTTGTTAATGGTTTCCTTTGCCCTGCAGAAGCATTTTAACTTGATGTGATCTCATTTAACCATATTTGTTTTGTTTGCCTGTGCTTGTGGGGTATTGCTCAAGACATTTTTGCCCAAATCAATGTTTTGGAGAGTTTTCCCAATGTGTATAATTTTAGTAGTTTCATAATTTGGGGTCTTAGATTTATGGCTTTAATACATTTTCCTTGGATTTTTTAAGGTGAGAGATGGGGGTCAAGTTTTATTTTTCTGCATATGGATACCCAGTTTTCTCAGCAACATGTATTGAAAATACTGTCTTCTCCCCAATGAATATTCTTAGTGCCTTTGTCAAAAATTAGTTCACTGTAGGTCTGTGGATTTGTATATGGGTTCTCTATTCTTTTCTACAGATCTATGTGTAGGGAAAAGAAAGAGAGATCAGACTGTTACTGTGTCTATGTAGAAAGCGAAGACATAAGAGACTCCATTTTGAAAAATACCTGTACTTTAAATGATTGCTTTGCTGAGATGTTGTTAATTTGTAGCTTTGCCCCAGCCACTTTGACCCAATCACTTTGACCCAACCTGGAGCTCACAAAAACATGTGTTGTATGAAATCAAGATTTAAGGGATCTAGGGCTGTGCAGGACATGCCTTGTTAACAAAATGTTTACAAGCAGTATACCTGGTAAAAGTCATCGCCATTCTCTAGTCTTAATAAACCAGGGGCACAGTGCACTGCGGAAAGCCGCAGGGACCTCTGCCCTTGAAAGCTGGGTATTGTCCAAGGTTTCTCCCCATGTGATAGTCTGAAATATGGCCTCGTGGGATGAGAAAGACCTGACCGTCCCCCAGCCCGACACCCGTAAAGGGTCTGTGCTGAAGTGGATTAGTAAAAGAGGAAAGCCTCTTGCAGTTGAGATAGAGGAAAGCCACTGTCTGCTGCCTGCCCCTGAGAACTGAATGTCTCGGTATAAAACCTGATTGTACATTTGTTCAGTTCTGAGATAAGAGAAAAACCACCCTATGGTGGGAGGTGAGACATGTTTGCGGCAATGCTGCCTTGTTATTCTTTACTCTGCTGAGATGTTTGGGTGGAAAGAAACATAAATCTGGCTTACGTACACGTCCAGTCATAGTACCTTCCCTTGAACTTAATTATGACGTAGATTCTATTGCTCACATGTTTGTTGCTGACCTTCTCCTTATGATCACCCTGCCCTCCTACGACATTCCTTTTTACTGAAATAATGAAAATAATAATCAATAAAAACTGAGGGAACTCAGAGACCAGTGCTGGTGCAGGTCCTTTGTATGCTGAGTGCCGGTACCCTGGGCCCACTGTTGTTTCTCTATACTTTGTCTCTGTGTCTTATTTCTCTTTCTCAGTCTCTCGTCCCACCTGACTAGAAATACCCACAGGTGTGCAGGGGCAGGCCATCCCTTCATCTATGTGTGTATTTTTTATTCCAGTCCCATGCCATTTGTTTACTACACCCCGTAGTATAATTTGAAGTTCAGTTACGTGATTCCTCTGTTTTTTGTTTGTTTGTTTGTTTTGTTTTTTCCTTTTTGCTCAGGATACCTTTGGCTCTTCTGGGTCTTTTTTCATTGTTTGTGAATTTTAGGATATTTTTCCCTGTTTCTGTGAAAAATGTCATTGGTATTATTATTATTATTATTATTATTATTATTATTATTATTATTATTATTTTGAGATGGAGTCTCTCTCTGTCACCCAGGCTGGAGTTCAGTGGCACTATCTTGGCTCAATGCAACCTCCGCCTCCTGGGTTCAAGTGATTCTCTTGCCTCAGCCTCCCCAGTAGCTGGGACTACAGGTGCATGCCACCATGGCTGGTTAAATTTTTTTTTTTTTTGTATTTTTAGTAGAGACGGGGTTTCACCATGTTAGCCAGGATGGTCTCCATCTGCTGACTTCATGACTCGCCTGCCTCGACCTCCCCAAGTGCTGGGATTACAGGTGTGAGCCACCATGCCCAGCCATCACTGGTATTTTAATAGAGACTGCATTGAATCTGCAGATTGCTTTTGATAGTGTAGGCATTTTAAACATATTGATACTTCCAATCCATGAACATGGAATATCTTTCCATTTTTTTGTGTGTGCTCATCAATGTCTTTCATCAGCATTTTATTGTTTTTATTGTAGAGATCCTTCACTTCTTTGGTTAATTCTTAGGTATTTAATTTAGTTGTGGTTATTGTAAATGTGATTAATTTTTTAATTCTTTTTTAGATTGTTCACTGTTGGGATATAGAATTGCTGCTAATTTTTGTTTGTTGGTTTTATGTCTTTCAAGTTAACTGAATATGTTTATGGGTTCTAATAGTTTTCTTAGTGGAGTTTGCAGGATTTTCCAAGTATAAAATTATATCATCAACCTACAAGGATAATTTGACTTATTCCTTTTCAATGTAGATGCTCTTTATTTTTTTCTCTTGTCTGATTTCTCTAGTTATAACTTCCAGTACTATGTTGAATTACATTGGTGAAAGTGGGCATCCTTGTCATGATCCAGATCTAAGAGGAGGGATTTCAGTTTTTCCACATTCAGAATAATACTACATGTGGGTCTGACATATGTGGCTTGTATTTTGTTCAGGTATTCTCCTTCTATATCCAGTGTCTTGAGAGTTTTATCATGAAGAAATGTAGAACTTTATCCCATGTGTTTTTAGTATCAATTGAAATGATTATATGGTTTTTGTTCCTCATTATGTTTTTATGATGTGTCATATTGATTGATAACATATGTTGAACCACACTTGCATCACTGGGATAAATCCCACTTGGTCATGATGAATCATATCTTTAATGTATTGTTGAATTCAGTTTGGTAATGTTTTGTTGGGGATTTTTTGCATCATTATTCATCAGAGATATTGGCCTGCAGTTTTCTTTTTTTGATGTGTGTTTGGTTTTGGTATCAGTGTAGTACTGGCCTTGTAGAATAAGTTTGGAAGTATTCCCTCCTCCTCAGTTTTATGGAATTATTTGTGTAGAATTAATATTAATTCTTCTTCCAATTATTGGTAAAGTCATTAGGCCCTGGGCTGTTATGGACTGGAAGACTTTTTATTATGGCTTTAATCTCATTACTTGTAATTGGTCTGCTCAGGTTTTGGATTTCTTCACAGGTCAATCTTGGTAGGCTGTATGTGTCTAGAAGTTGCTTAGAGTAGCCAGAAATGATGTTTTCAATTTCTGTGGTATCTGTTATAATGTCTCATTTTTCATCTCTGATTTTTATTTGGTTATTCTCTTTTTGTCTTAGACTGGCTAGAGTTTTGTCAATTTTATGATTTTACAAAATCTACTTTTGTTTCATTGATCTTTTGTACTTTTTTCTTTGTTTCAGCTCCAACCTTTTTTATTATTTTAATAAAAACTCTACACTTTAACTATGCTCCCACTTTATAACATTTTTTGTTTTCCTTTATGTCTTATTGTACTGTCATAAAAAGTTGCTGTAGTTATTATTTTTAACTTTTTAATCATTTAGTCTTTTTACTTAAGAGAAGTTTACACACCACAATTTCAGCATTATATTATTCTGTTTTTTTCTGTGTACTTACTATTAACAGTCAGCTTTGTACCTTCAGATGATTACTTGCTTATTAACATCCATTTCCTCCAGATTTATGAACTCCATTAGAATTTCTTCTGGGCAGGCCTGTTGTTGATAAAATCCCTCAGCTTGTGTTTGTCTAGGAAGGTCTTTCTTTCTCCTTCATGCTTAAAGGATTTTTTTTTTTTTTTTTTTTTTGCAAGATATAGTGTTCTAGTGCAATAGTTTTTTATCCCTCTGTACTTTATGTTATGGTGCTTCCTCCTTGCTTGTATGGTTTCCATTGAAAACTCTGCTGCTTGATGTATCAGAGCTCCACTGTATGTTCTTTGTTTCTTTTCTCTTGTTGCTTTTAGGATCCTTTTTTATCCTTGACTTTTGCAAGTTTCATTATTAAATGTGTGAAGTAGTGTTCTTTGAGTTAAACCTGCTTGGTATTCCAAAATCTTCTTGTACTTGAATTTCAATATCTTTAGGTATGGGAAGTTATCTGTTATTAAACTTTCTACCTTTATCTCTTTCTGTACCTCTTCTTTAAGGCAAGTAACTCTTAGATTTGCACTTTGAAGGCTGTTTACTATGTCTTCTAGGCATGCTTCATTGTTTTTTATTCCTGTTTTTGTCTCCTCTGACTGTGTTTTCAAATACTCTGTCTGCAAGCTCACTAAATTTTCTTCTGCTTGATTAATTCTGCTACTAAGAGACTCTGATGTATTTTCTGCCATGTTATTTGCATTTTTCAACTCTCAAATTTCTGTTTGATTGTTTTTAATTATTTCAATCTCTGTTAAATTTACCTGATAAAATTCTGAATTCCTTCATTGTATTATTTTGAATTTCTTTGAGTTTTCTCAACATAGGTATGTTGAATTCTATGTCCGAAAAATTATATATTTCTGTTTCTCCTGGATTGGTCCCTGGTGCCTCATTTAGTTCATTTGGTGAGGTCAAGATTTTCTACTGGGTGTTAATGGTTGTAGATATTCATTGGTTCCTGGGCATTGAAGAGTTGTATGTTTATTGTAGTCTTCACAGTCTGGGCTTGTTAATACCTGCTCTTCTTGGGAAGGCTTTTATGTATTCAAAGGGACTTGGGCCCCAAGCCCAATAAAACTAGCTATTGCAGAATCATAGAGGTACCACCTTGGTGTCTTGAATAATATGTGGAAGAATTCTTTGGATTACCAAGAAAAGACTCTTCTTTGTGCTTATGTTCTCCTAAAGAAATAGAGTCTTTCTGCACTGAGCCACCTGATACTGGAGATGTGATGATGCAAGCACCCTTGTAGCCACCACAACAGACTGTGCTTGGTCAGATCTGAAGCTAGCACAGCACTGGGCCTTACCCAAGGCCCTTATTGTCAAGGCAGCCTGTTTCCCGAGGCCCTGGGCATGTCCAGATATGCTGTCCGGAAACCAGGGGTTGGTCTAAAAAACCTTAGCAATTTACGTGGTATTTTATTTTACTGTGGCTAAACTAGCACTCTAATCACAATATGAAGTCCTTCCCATTCTTCCATCCACATTACATAGCCAGAGGAGCCTCTCTCTGTGGCCACTAATGCCACCTATCCAGGAAGGATTCTGGCAGGCCAGTGGCCTCCTCTGTGGCCCAGAGCAGGTCCAGAAATGCTGTCCAAGAGCCCAGGCCCAGAGGCATGGACCCCAAGAACCTGCATGTTGCTCTACCCTACTGTGGCTGAGCTGCTACCTAGGGTGCAAGACAAAATCCCCCTTAATTTTTTCTGTTCATTTTCCCAAACAGAAGGAAGCTTTCATCACAGCAACTACATCTAGGAGTATACTGGGTCACCCATGAAGCCAGCATATCTCAGAGACCAAGGCCCATGGTGTACTCACTAGGTATTTCTTCTGGTTATTCAGGGCCCAAGGGCTCTTTATTCAGCAAGTGCTGTATCCTACAAGGACTGGATCCTTCCCTTCAAAGCAGCAGGTTCCCTTTTGTACCAGTGTGGTCTATGATATAGTTTGGCTGTGTCCCCATACAAATCTCATTTTGAATTTTAGCTCCCATAAATAATCCCCACAAGTTGTGGGAGGAACCCAGTGGGAGGTAATTGAATTACGGGGTTCGGTTTTTTTCCATGCTTTTCTCATGATAATGAATAAGTCTCAGCAGATCTGATGGTTTTATAAGGGCAGTTCCCCTGCACACGCTCTTGCCTGCATCCATGTAAGACATGCCTTTTCTCCTCCTTTGCTTTTTGTGATGATTGTGAGACCTTCCCAGCCATGTGAAACTGTGAGTCCATTGAGCCTTTTGTTCTTTATAAATCGCCCTGTCTCAGGTATTTCTTCATAACAGTATAGAAATGGACTAATAGAGTACTTGGTACTGGTAGAGTGGGGTAGTGTTATAAGGATACCCGAAAACGTGGAAGCAACTTTGGAACTGGGTAACAGGCAGCAGTGGAAAGAGTTTGGAGGGCTCAGAAGAAGACAGGAAAATGTGGATAAGTTTGGAACCCCCTAGAGACTCTGAGGGATCAGAAGACAGGAAGATGTGGGAAAATTTGGATCTTCCTAGAGAAGTGTTGAATGGCTTTGACCAAAATGCTAATAGTGATATGGACAATAAAGTCCAGGCTGAGGTGGGCTCAGATGGAGATGAGGAATTTATTGGGAACTGGAGCAAAGGTTACTCTTGCTATAAAAATAGACTGGTGGCATTTTGCCTCAGCCCTAGAGACCTGTGGAATTTTGAACTTGAGAGAGATAATTTAGGGTATCTGGGAGAATAAATTTCTAAGCAGCAAAATGTTCAAGAGGAAGCATAGCATCAAAGTTTGAGAAATTTGTAGCCTGACAATGCAGTAGAAAAGAAAAACCCATTTCCTGGAGAGAAATTCAAAATGGCAGAAGAAATTTGCGTAAGTAATGAGAAGCCAAATGCTAATTGCCAAGGCAATAGGAAAAATCTCTTCAGGGCCTGTTAGAGACCTTCGTGGCAGCCCCTCTCATTACAGACCCAAGGGCCTAGGAGGAAGAAGTGGTTTGCTGGGCTGGATCCAGGGCCCCACTGCTGTTAGCAGCCTCAGGACTTAATGCCCTGCATCCCAGATGCTCCAGCCATGGCTAAATGGGGCCAAGGTACAGCTTAGGCTGTGGCTTCAGAAGGTGAAAGACCCACACCTGGGCAGCTTCAACATGGTGTTGAGCCTGCAGGTGCACAGAAGTCAATTAATTGAGGTTTGGGAACCTCCACCTAGATTTCAGAGGATGTATGCAAAGGCCTGGATATCCAGGCAGAAATTTGCTGCAAAGGTGGAACCCTCATGGAGAACCTCTGCTAGGACAGTTCAGAAGGAAAATGTGGGTTTGGAGCCCCCAAACAGAGTCCCCACTGGGTCACTGCCTAGTGGAGCTGCGAAAAGAGGCCCACCATCCTCCAGACCCCAGAATGGTAGATCCTCGGTCAGCTTGCACCATGTGCCTAGAAAAGCCATAGACACTCAGTGCCAGCCTGTGAAAGCAGCCAAAAGGGGGGATGTATCTTGCAAAGCCACAGAGGCAGAACTGCCCAAGGCCATGGCCTCTTGCATCAGTGTGATCTGGTTGTGAGACATGGAGTCAAAGGAGATCATTTTGCAGCCTTATGATTTGACTGCCCCACTGGATTTTGGACTCACATGGGGCCTGTAGCCCCTTCATTTTTCAAATTTCCTCCATTTGCAATGGTTGTATCTACCCAATGCCTCTACCCCTATTGTATCTACAAAGTAACTAACTTGCTTTTGATTTTACAGGCTCATAGATGGAAGAGACTTGCTTGGTCTCAGATGGGGTTTTGGAATGTGGACATTTGAATGAATGCTGAAATGAGATAAGACACTGGGGGACTGTTGGAAGGGCAAAATTGTGTTTTGAATTGCGAGAACATGAGATTTGGGAGAAGCCAGTGGCAGAATAATATGGTTTGGCTGTGTCCCCACCCAAATCTCATCTTGAATTTTACCTCCCATAATCCCTGCATGTGGTGGGAGGGGTCCAGTGGGAGGTAATTAAATCATGGGGGTGGGTTTTTCCTGTGCTGTTCTCGTGATACTGAATAAGTCTCAGGAGATCTGATGGTTTTACAAGGGTAGTTCCCCTGCACACACTCTTGCCTACCACCATGAAAGATGTGTCTTTGTTCTTACTTCAATTTCTGCCATGATTTTGAGGCCTCCCCAGCCATGTGGAACTGTGATTCCATTGAAATTTTTTTCTTTATAAATTACCCATTCTTTGGTGTTTCTTCATAGCAGTATGAAAATGAACTAATACAATCTGTAAATGTTTTTCAGGAGCTAGAGCCTGTAATGGGGGCCTCATGACTCTACCTTGTGCCCTATCTTACTGTGGCTGACTTGGTATTCAAGACACAAAACAAAGCCCACTTTACTCTTTGTTCTTCTCTCCTTAAGCAAAAGGAATGAGTCAAGTTCATGGCTGTGAACTCTACTGTCTGAAGTTGTGGAAGGGATGTTCCAAATATACCCTTAGCTGCACCATTTGGTTTCTCCTAACATCATGTGCCACCCTACTTCATTGGCTCTAAGCCTGGCTTAGAACTAAGAGTTGTTTAAAAATTGTGGTCCTTGTGTCCTAGACTGCCTTTCAAGTTTACCTAGGATGCCAGAGAACTTTAGCATACAGTGGTGAGGCTTGCTGAGAAACTCAAATTCTGACCACTGGGATGGGTGATTCCCCACTGGCTACCGTGTGTGTGCTGGCTGAGCGCAGTGTAACTATATTCTCCACTGTGACAAGGCAGCACTGAGTTCAGTGTAAACTTCCCCATTTTCTGTACCCTTTCTTCCCAAAGTGCACAGATTCTCTCTCTGTATAGCTCAGCTACTGCCAGTGGATGGAGGAGGGGTGGCATTGGACAGTCAAGACTGTTTCTCCTCCCCTTTGTAATGCTTTTTTCAGTAATATGAATATGAGTTTAAAACCATTACTTGGATTGCTCACCTGGATTTTGATTCTAATGATGGTGGTTTTCTGTGTGCAGATCTTTGTTAAAATTAGTGTTCCAATGGGAATGATGAATGACATGGGCTTCTGTTCTGCTATCTTGCTTGAACCACTCATCTTTCTGTTTTGATTTCTGTTTTTTCTTTTTCTTTTCTTTTTTTTTATTTTTGATTCTGGGCAATTTCACAAATCCACCAGCATCTGTGCCACAATGCAGAGGTCACAATTTATACCGTCGTAAAAATACAAGATTTTCAAGCAGCTGTTTATGTTTCAATATTAATGTATATTTAGAAACAGCTTTTATGATTTAATAAAATGTTAAAATTTATTTTATAGCACTGTTACCTAGTTGTGCATACTTCGACATTGCTTTTCTATTTTGGAAATGGTAGCACCTAGATTTAGGTGAAACTGGTTATCATCATTGCTAATATTTCTCTTGACTTATGACAATAACAATTACTTTTCAAAAACCCAGTTAAACAACTTTAAAAATCGTATCTTGACAGTTTGAGGTGCATGTGATGTTATAAATTTCTGGTTCTTATTAACATGAAGTAAACACACTCTATCTTATCTCCCATAGATCAGATTATAACTAAAATCTCTGGACAAAATACTAAAAGCAATTATTGAAAATCTTAAAAAATAAGAATAAGGGGCCGGGCGCGGTGGCTCACGCCTATAATCCCAGCACTTTGGGAGGCCGGGGCGTGCAGATCACGAGGTCAGGAGATCAAGACCATCCTGGCTAACACGGTGAAACCCCGTCTCTACTAAAAATACAAAAAAATTAGCCGGGCATGGTGGCAGACGCCTGTAGTCCCAGCTTCTTGGGAGGCTGAGGCAGGAGAATGGTGTGAACCTGGGAGGCGGAGCTTGCAGTGAGCCGAGATTGCGTCAGTGCACTCCAGCCTAGGTGACAGAGCAAGACTCCGTCTCAAAAAAAAAAAAAAAAAAAAAAAAAAGAATAAGGACAGGCAGACTGGATAGAAATATGAAAATTGTGTGATTATATGGGAGTAAGTTACCTGTGTTTTTGTTGTTTTGTTAAGTTTTATTTTTGTTTTGATTAGCTTTCATCTCTCATATTGTCCAGTGCAGACTACCATATCTCCCAAAATGACAATAAAGAATGAACAGAAATAGCACAGACTAAAACAGTTTGTCTTTAGTAAGAAAACTATATATGGTGTCCCATGTGAGAATAGTTTTTGTGTTTTGTTTTATTTTTGTTAACTTCCTAGAACTCCCTCAAGTGAGCCCCAGTAATGAAGGCGAAGCAATAGCGGGGTGGCAGTGGGCATGAAAGCACTAAAGATTCTATCTTGCTGCTTTTCCCACAAATGTATGTATTTCCAAAAGGGGTATGACAGCTGTGAGAAGAAATATCCTTGGCTTTTTAATCAGACCATCAAGAAATCGAATCACTGAAAACTAGATAGTTTGAGGGAAATCATTGAAAAAAAAAAGGTATGAGAGGAATAGATACATTAAATATGTATATAATGTCCTGAACTTGTCTTTAAGTTGAACATGCATAGAAATAACTGGAATAAACATAGGTAAACTTTGAGAACTAGAGCACAGTATACATGACTTGTTCCAGACTAGCCCCAAAGTGGGATAAACATAGGACAAATCAGAAGAGCAGCGGAAAAACATTTAACATTAAACAAATATTTAAAACACAACCCACAGAAGGGAGTCAGGACTTCTGGTTTGAACCTAAACAGTTTGACTACTATATAAAACAACAAAAACAAAAAAAAAATCAACATTTTCCAGAAAATTTTAATAGGACACAGAGTCTCCTAACATAATATTTAACATGTCCAAGATACAATTTCAGATTATTTGACATATAAAGAACAACAAAAAAAACCCACTTAACTCCCGTGGGACAAGACAATTATCAGACACCAACCTTGATGTTTAGAAATGTAATTGCATTAAATAAAATAAAACAGTGAAGAAAGAGAACCAAATAGAAATTTTAGTGCTAAAAAGTACCCTCAAATTACAAGAGAGATGTGATAACAGAATGGCATAACAGAAAATAGACTCAGTGAATTTCCAGAAAGGTCCATAGAAATTATTCTATATGAAAATCAAAAATTAAGATAGATTTAAAAATTATGAACAAAGCTTCAGGGGTCAATGTGACAATATAAAAAATCTAGCATTTATATATTTTGAGTTTGATTATTATATAAAGAGAGGAGCAAGAGACTCTTGTAAAAGAATATTTGAAAATATGTCTGACAATTTCTCAATTTTTCTGAAATGTATACATTTCCAGGTCCAAGAAGCTCAGCAAACCATAAGAAGGGTAAATTCACAGGAAACTATGCACAAACACATCATAGTCAAATAAGTTAAAGATTTTAAAAAAATCTTGAAAGGAGCCTAAGAAGCACATTACACATGTGCAAAGTACAATTTTATTGACAATTTCTCATCACACACCAGGAAGATGAGAAAACTGTAGACTAACATTTACAGAGTGCTTCAAGAAAAGAGCTGAAAACAAAGAATTCTATCTTCATAAAACATATTATTCAAGACATGAGATAAAAACATATTCCATGTAAAGAAAAGTCAAAAGAGAGAATCTGTAGCTATACTAATATCTGATAAAATATACTCTATTTGTCCATTTCTGCTTTTGTTGCAATTGCTTTTGGCATCTCTGTCATGATATCTTTGTCTGTGCCTATGTCCTGAATGGTATTGACTAGGTTGTCTTCCAGGGATTGAATAGTTTTGGATTTTTCATTTAAGTCTTTAAGCCACCTTGAGTTAATTTTTGTATATGGTGTAAAGAAGGGGTCCAGTTTAAATCTTCTGCATGTGGCTTGTCAGAGAATCATTTACTCATTGCTTGTTTTTGTCAGGTTTGTCAAAGATAAGACAGTTGTAAGTGTGTGGTCATATACCTGGGTCCTCTATTCTGTTCTATTGGTCTATGTGTCTGTTTTTGTACCAGTACTATGCCATTTTGGTTACTGTAGCCCTGTAGTATAGTTTGAAGCCATGTAGGATGATGCCTCCAGCTTTGGTCATTTGTTTAGGGTTGTCTTGGCTATAAGGGCTCTTTGTTGTTTTCATACAAATTTTAAAATAGTTTTTTTCTAGTTCTGTGAAGAATCTCAATGGTAGTTTAATAGACATAGCATTAAATCTATGAATTGCTTTGGGCAGAATGGCCATTTCAAGGATTTTGATTCTTCCTTTCCATTAGCACCAAATGTTTTTCCATTTGCTTATGTCCTCTCTGATTTCTTAGAGCAGTGGTGTAGTTCTCTTTGTAGAGATCTTTCACCTCCCTGGTCAGCTATATTCCTAGATATTTTATTCTTTTTGTGGCAATTGTGTATGGGAGTTCATTCCTGATTTGGCTCTTGGCTTGCCTGTTGTTAGTATATAGAAATGCTAGTGAGTTTGCCCATTAATGATAGAATGGATAGAGAAAATGTGGTACATATACATCAAGGAATACTATGCAACCATACAAAATGAGATCATGTCCTTTGCATGGACATGGATGGAACTGGAGGCCAGTATCTTTAGCAAACACAGGAAAAGGACAGAAAACCAAATTTCACATGTTCTCACTTGTATGTGTGAGTTAAATGATGATAAAACATGAACACACAGAGGGGGACAAACACACTTGGGCCTTTTGGATGGTGAAGGGTGGGAGGTGGGAGAGGATCAGAAAAAAATAACTAATGGGTACTGATATGGTTTGACTGTGACCCCACCCACATCTCATCTTGAATTGTAGCACCCATAACTCCCATGGGTTGTGAAAGGAGCATGGTGGGAGATAATTGAATCATAGGGGCAGGCCTTTCCCATGCTATCCTCATGATGGTGAATAAGTCTTATGAGATCCAATGGTTTCACAAAGGGGATTTTCCATGCTCAAGTTATCTTCTCTTCTCTGCTGCCATGTGAGATGTGCCTTTCACCCTCTGCAAGGGTTGTGAGGCCCCCACAACCACATAGAACTTTGAGTCCATTAAATCTGTTTCTTTTGGAAATTGCCCAGTCTCAGGTATGTCATTATCAGCAGCATGAAAACGGACTAATACAGCCAGTATTGGGGTGCTGCTGCAAAGATACCAGAAGATGTGGAAGCAAATTTGTAACTAAGTAACTGGGAGATGTTGGAACAGTTTGGAGGGCTTAAAAGAAGATAGAAAAACGTGGAAAAGTTTGGAACTTCCCAGAGGCTTGTTGAATGACTTTGACAAAATGTTGATAATGACATAGACAATGAAATCCAGGCTGAGGTGGTCTCAGATGGAAATGAAGAAATTGTTGGAAACTAGAGCAAAGGTGATTCTTGTTATATTTTAGCAAAGAGACTGGTGGCATTTTGCCCCTGCCCTAGAGATTTGTGGAACTTTGAACTTGAGAGAGATAATTTAGGCTATCTGGTGGAAGAAATTTCTAAACAGCAAAGCATTCAAGAGGTGACTTGGGTGCTGTTAAAGGCATTCAGTTTTATAAGAGAGGCAGAGCATAAAAGTTTGAAAAATTTGCAGCCTGACAATGTGATAGAAAATTCAATTTTCTGAGGAGTAATTCAAGACAGCTGAAGAAACTTGCATAAGTAAGGAGGAGCTGAATGTTAATCCCCAAGACAATGTCACTAGGACATGTCAGCGGTCTTCATGGAAGCCCCTCCCATCACAAGCTTGGAGGCCTAGGAGGAAAAAAATGGTTTTGTGGGCCTGGCCCAGGATCCCTGTACAAGCCTAGGGTCTTGGTGCCCTGTGTCTCAGCTGCTCCAGCCAAAAGGGTCCAACATAGAGCTCAGGCTGTGGCTTGAGAGGATTCAAGCCCCAAGCCTTGGCAGCTTCCACATGATATTGAGCTTGCAAGTGCACAGAAGTCTGGAAATGGGGTTTGGGAACGTCTGCCTAGATTTCAGAGGATGGATGGAAATGCCTGGGTGTCCAGGCAGAAGTTTGCTGCAGAGGTGGGGCCCTCATGGAGAATCTCTGCTAGGGCAGTGCAGAAGGGAAATAGGGGGCTGGAGCCACTACACAAAATCCCCACTGGGACACTGCCTAGTGGAGCTGTGAAAAGAGGCCCACCATCTTCCAGAACCCCAAATGGTAGATCCATAGACAGCTTACACCATGCACCTGGAAAAGCTGCAGACAGTCAACACCAGCCCTTGAAAGCAGCTTGGAGGGAAGCTGTACCCTGCAAAGCCACAGGGGCAGAGCTGCCTAAGATCATGGAACCGATCTCTTGCATCAGCATGAACCAGATGTGAGACATGGAGAGAAAGCAGATCATTTTGGAACTTTAAAATTTGACAGCGATTTTGGACTTGCATGGGGCCTGTAGCTCCTTTGTTTTGGCCAATTTTTCTCATTTGAAACAGGTGAATTTCACCAAAGCCTGTACCCCCATTGTATTTAGGAAGTAACTAACTTGCCTTCGATTATACAGGCTCATAGGTGGAAGAGACTTGCCTTATCTTCGATGAGACTTTGGATTGTGGAATTCTGAGTTCATGCTGAAATGAATTAAGGCCTTGGGGACTGTTGGGAACGCATTAATGGTTTTGAGATCTAAGGACATGAGATTTCGGAGGGCCCAGGGGTGGAATAATATGGTTTGGCTGTGTTGCTGCCCAAATCTCATCTTGAATTATAGCTCCCATAATTCTCACATATTGTGGGAGGGACCCAGTGGGAGATAATTGAATCATGGGGCCAGGTCTTTACCATGCTATTCTCATGATAGTGAATGAGTCTAATGAGATCTGATGGTTTTATAAAGGGGAGTTTTGCTACACAAGTTCTCTTCTCTTGTTTGCCACCATGTGAAATATGCCTTTCACCTTCCACCATAATTGTGTGGCCTCCCCAGCCACGTGGAACTGTTAGTCTATTAAACCTCTTTATTTTGTATATTGCCCAGTCTTTACATATGTCTTTATCGGCAGCCAGAAAATGGACTCATACAGGCACCAGGCTTAATAACTGGGTGATGAAATAATCTGTACAATAAATTCTCATGGTACAAATTTACTTATGTAACAAACCTGCACATGTACCCCTAAACTATAATAAAAGTTCAAAATAAAGCAAGAAATAATAGACTTTAAGTTAAAAACTATCAGGCAAATGAAAGGTCACTACATACTAATATGAGGTTGAATTCATCAAGAAGATATAATAATAATATATATGCATGGAAAAATATAAAATCTAAATATATAAAGCAAATATTAATAGATCTGAATAGAAAGATAGACTACAATACAAAAATAGAGGATTTCAATACTACCCTTTCAACAATAGACAGAGTAGAGAGAAAATCAAAAAGGAAATACTGGATTTGAACTACACTTTAAACCAAATGGACCTAACAAACATATATATAGCATTTCATTCATCAGTAGCAGAATGTACAGTTTTTCAAGTGCATACAGAACACTTGCAGGGTAGATCATAAATAAAGCCACAAAAAATCTTTAAAACTTTAATAAGATTGAGATCATATCAAGTATATTTCTGATCACAATGATTTAAAACTAGAAATTAATAATAAAAGGAATTTTAGAAAATTTACAAATATATGAAAAATACACATGTATGTAAATAAACAATGGCTTAAAGAAGAAATTAAAAGGAAAGTTTAAAAATATTTTGAGGCAAGTGAAAATTAAAATACAACATACCAAAACACATCAAATGCATCAAAAGCAGCTCTATGAGGGAAGTTTAAAACAATAAACATTTATATCAAAAAAGAAGAAAGACAGCAAATACACAGCCTAGTGTTATTCTGTAAGAAACTAGAAAAAAAAAAAAAAACAACTAGCCCAAAGTTGGTAGAAGAAAGAAAATAGTAAAGATAAGAGCAGTAATAAACAAAATGGAGAATGTAAAAATAATAAGAAAGATGAGCAAAGCTGAATTGATTTTATGAAAAGATAAACAAAGTGGACAAACTTTTAGCTAGACTAGCTAAGAATAAAAGAGAGAAGTCTTAAACAAATACAATAAGAAATGAAAAAGAAAACATTACAAGCATTGCCACAGAAATACAAAGTATCATGAGACTACTATGAACAAATATACACCAACACGTTGAGTAATGTAGAAGAAATGGATAAATTCCTATAAACATACAACCTACCAAGACTAAATCAACTTCATAGCAAGAAAACAATATGATTTTTATTTTTTATGTGCAAAGGATGTAAATTGAATTGGCATTTCTCGAAAGAAGAATTGCAAATGGCCAAGAGATATTTGAGAAAAATGATCAGCATCACTAATTATTATGGAAGTGCAAATAAAAGTCACAATGTGTTACCACCTCACATCTGACAGAATGGCTATTATCCAAAAGACAAAAGACAACAAATGATGGCAATGATGCAAAGAAAAGGAAACCCTTGAAAACTGTTAGTAGGAATGTAAATTTGTATAGCCAATGTGGAAAACAGTATAAACATTTCTCAAAATGTTAAAAGTAGAACTAACATGATCCAGCAATTCATTGTCTAAGCAGATATCCAAGGAAATAGTAACACTTTCTCAAAGAGATCCATGTTTATTACATCATTATTCACAACAGTCAAGGTGTGGAATCAACCTAATAAACATAACATGGTGTATAAGCACAATGGAATACTGTTCAGCCTTTTGGAAGAAGAAAATCTTGTCATTTGTGAAAATATGTATGAATCTGTCAAACATTATGTTAAGTGAAATAAGCCAGTCACAGAAAGAAAAAGATCATGTTATCTGACTTATATGTGGAATTTAAAATATCAAACTCTTAGAAACAGAGAGTAAAATGGTAGTTAGAAGAAGCTGTAGGGAGCGTTGAGGATTGGGGAGATGTTTGTCAAAGGACATAACATTTCAATTAGGAGAAATAAGTTTGAGACTGATTGTACATAATGGTGACTATAGTTAATAACAATATAACATATACTTGGAAATTGCTTAGAGAGTAGATTTTGTGCTGTCGCCTTCCTAAAATGATAGGTAGATGAGGTGTTTCCTCTGATACCTGGATTTTGCCTTTCCACAATGTATACGTATATCAAAACATTATTTTGTAAACCACAAATATATACAATTTTATTTTTCAACTAAAAGTAAACAAAAATATCCATTAAGAGTAAAGGCAAAATAAAGACATTCTTAAATGAGGGAAAACTAAGAGAATTTGTTGCCATTAGATCTGTTTAAAAGAAATTCTAGTGAAAGTCCTTCATGCAGAAAAAGAATAACAGAAGAAAAACAAAAATTTAAGAACGAGGAAATATAAACAACATTGGTAAATATAATGTACTATTTTAGATCACTTGAGTTCTTTAAATTATGTTGGACAATTTAAAGAAAAAAGATATTATTTTACTGGTATGATTTTGAGCTTATCAATGTATGTAGATATGATAAATATGACAAAAATGAACATGAATTCTGCAAAAATTGAAGCAAGAATAAACATCAAATTTGTGGTGAAGTTTGAGTGAAAAAATGATGACATTCATGCTTTACAAAAAATTTATGGGGACAATGCCTCAAAGAAACCAGCAGTTTATGATGAATAACTCATTTTCAGAAGGGATAAAAAAAGTTGAAGGTGAAGGCCTCAGCAGCAGACTATCCACATCAATTTCCAAAAAACAAATTCATCTTGTTCACACCCTATTTGGAGAGGACCCACAATTAACAGGTGCAATAATAGCCAAAATCATGCACATAGCCATTAGTTCAGCTTACACAATTCTGGATGAAAAGTTGATGTTGAGCAAATTTGTCACTTGATGGGTGCCAAAACCATTGCACCCAGGTCATCTGCAGATAAGAGCAGAGTTTTCATTGGAAATGTCAAACAATGGGATGAAGATGCTGAAACATGTATTCAAGGACTTGTAACAGGAGATAATACATGGCTTTACCAGTATGATCCCGAAGACGAAAGCAATGGCTATCAAGAGGTAGAAGTGTTTCAGTCAAAGCAAAAGTGGACAGATCGAGAAAAGGTAATGGCAACAGATTTTTCAGATGGTCAAGGCATTTTGCTTGTTAACTTTCTGGAGGGTCAAAGAATGATAACATTCGCTTATTATGAGAGTGATTTGAGAAAGGTAGCCAAATGTTTAGGAGAAAACCACTGGGGAAAGCTTTACCAGAGAGTTCTCTGTCACAATTCCCATGCTTATTCTCATCAAATAAGGAATCCTTTACGAGAGTTTCAATGGAAAATTATTAGGCATCCATCATACAGTCTTGATTTGGCACCATCTGACTTATTTTTGTTTCCTAATCTTAAAAAACTGTAAAGGGCACACATTTTCTCAGTTAATTATGTAAAGAAAAGCTGCATTGACATGGCTAAATTCCCAGGACCTTTAAGGCAGAATGAATCGACCCAAATCATTGTTTACAAAACTGTTTGGAACTTGATGAAGCTTATATTGAGAAATAAAATTTATACTCTATATTTTTATTTTAAAATATCATTTTCCATGATCTTTTTGAAGTCCCCTTTTGTGCATTTATACATGTATAAATAAATATATGTATATTTGAAGCCTGGAGCAACTGCTAAAGAAAATATGCAAATAAATAGAGTTGCAAAGCCAGAATAAAAATAATACAAATAATCTAAAGATGGAGATACAGAATATGCAAAAATAAAACAAATGATGAAATAATAGGCCTAAGTACAAACATATAAGTAATTACCTAAAATGTAAATGACCTAAGCACACCATTTAAAAGACAAAGATTGTGAGGATTAAAAAACAAAACAAGACTAACGATGTGCTGCCTGCAAGAAACCCACATAAACTACAGTTATTAAAAGGATGAAAAGTGGTATGTCATGCAAACACTAATTAAAAGCAACAACCTTGGGATGAGGTATGTTATATAAAAATAAAATTATTTACTCATCAAGGAGGCATATCAGTCCTAAATACACTTTCACCTAACAAGAGAACATCAGAATCCATGAAATAAAAGCAAACAAAATTAAAGGAAAACTAGACACATCCACAATTATACTTAGAAATTTTAACAACCACTTCTTAGTTATCAGTAATAACAGCAGATAGAAAATCAGCAAGAGTATAGAATACCTCAACAACACTATCAGTCAACATAACATAATTGATATTATAGAGCAGACTACTTAACAACAGAAAATCCTCTTTACAAGTGCACATAGAACATATGCAAAGATGTATCATATTCTGAGTCACATAACAAAACTTATAAATTTTATAATAATTAAAGTCACAAATAGTATGTTCCCTGAACACAGTGGAGTTAAGTCAGAGATTTAGAAAGTTATTTGGAAAATACCCACATATTTGTAAATTAAAAACAATTGCACTTCTAAATTAAATAACACATTGATCAAAAAGGAAGTATTTTAATGAGTACAGGATTTTATTTTGGAATGATGTCAATGCTTTGAAACAAAATAAAGTAAGTAATTACACATCATTGGAGTATTACTAAATGTAATTGATTTTGGCACTTTAAAATTGTTAATGGGTTTTTACTTCAATTTTTTAAAGTTTAATTTTAAAGGAAGTGAAAATATTAGAAGCCATTTTTAATAAATTAAAATAAAAATTAAATTACAATTATTTGACAATATTAGAAAATAATAAAGTTCTCAAATCAATAATTTAAAATTTATGTCTTAACAAACTAGAAAAGAGAGAATAAACTGATCCAAACTAAGAAGAAGAAAGAATATAATATAGGTAAAAGTAGAATTCAATCCAAAAGTTATTTCTTTAAAAAGATCCAGGCCGGGTGCGGTGGCTCACACCTGTAATCCCAACACTTTGGGAGGCTGAGAAGGGTGGATCACGAGGTTAGGAGATTGAGACCTTCCTGGCCAACATGGTGAAACCCCGTCTCTACTAAAAATACAAAAATTAGCTGGGTGTGGTGGCACGTGCCTGTATTCCCAGCTACTCGGGAGGCTGAGGCAGGAGAATCGCTTGAACCTGGGAGGCAGAGATCACACTAAGCTGAGATAGTGCCACTGCACTTCAGCCTGGAGACAGAGTGAGACTCCATCTAAAAAAAAAAAAAAATCCATAAAATAGAAAATATTAAGACTAACCAAGAAAAAAATATACTGTAAGAAACTAGGCCCTGTATTAATAAATATAAATATAGACGCACACACACACACACACACATATATATTTATATATATATTAGTTAAGTGTGGTAATTGACACCTATAGTCTCATCTACTTGGAAGGCTTGGGCAGGAGAATCACTTGAGCCTAGGAGTTCAAGATGCAGTGAGCTATGACTGCACTCCTGCACGCCAGGGTGGGTTACAAAGAAAGACCTCATATCTAAAAAAAAAAAAAAAAAGAAAAAGAAAGAAAGAAAGAATGAAAGAGGGAATATCACAACAGGCAACAGACCTTACATACATAAAAAGAATAAGAAATTATATGAAAAACTTGTAAACAAATTTTAAAACTTTTATGAAAAGGAGACTTTTCTTGAAATGCACAAACCATCAAAGCTCATGCAAGGAGAAGTAGATAAATCTGATAGTTGTGAAACTATTTTAAAAGTTAAATTTATATTTAGAAACCTTCCAGAACATTTAACTGCAGACCCAGATGGCTTCACTGACAAATTTTACCCACTCTTTAAGGAAGAAATAGCATGTATTCTGCATAGTTTCTTTCAGCAAACAAGAGAGGGAACCCTTTCCAACTCATTTAAGAGAAAAAAAAGATACCATTTTTGCATATCCAGATTAAAAAATTACAATTTAAATAATACAAATGAATAAACCTCATAAACATAGGTGCAAAAATCTTCAAAAAATAGGAAATCAAATTTAGCAAAATATAAAGAAAATGACACACCAAGTCAAAGTGGGATTTATCTTAGGAATATAAGTCTAGTTCAATATTTGAGAATAAATCAATGCAATACACAATATCAACAAACTAAATATAAAAATTATATAATTATGTCAAATGATGTAGAAAAGGACATTTTAAAAAATTCAACATCTATTCATGCTAAAAATGCCACAAGCCAGGAATACAAGAATACTTATTTAACGTCATTAAGGGCATTTACAAAAATTGTGCGTCATACTTTATGTGGGAGGCTGAATGTTTTCTTGCTAAGATTCAGAACAAGGCAAAGTACTCCACTCCCATAATTTCTATTCAACCGAGTCCTGGAAGCCCTAGGCAGTGCAATAAAACACAAAAGAGAAGTGAAAGGCTTACATCTTGGAAAAAAAGAAGTAAAATTGTTCCTAATCAGCTCCTAAAACTAACAGGTGCATTTAGAAAGAACACAAAATACAAGCTGAATGCGTAAAAATCAATCTTATTTCTATGTAATAGAAACAAAAATTAGATATCCTAATCTAAAACACAGTATCATTTATGATTATGCCATGAAGTACTTTGGTATAAATATAAAAAAAGTGATTAATCTGTATTTATAAAACCATGAAATAAGTCAACTAGTACCTAAATAAATAGATCTATATTCATGGAAGAAATACTCAATATAGTTAAGGTGTTGAATCCTCCGAAATTGATCTATAAATTTACTAAAATCTCACAATTCTAGTGAAAGTTATTTTTAGATATAGAGAAACTGAATTTAAAACTTCAATGGATAGGCAAAGGAACTAGAATAGAATTGGAAAGAAAAGCAAATTGGAAAAACTAGTAAAAAGTTGGAAGACTCATAGTACCTGATTTAAGACATACCATTAAGCTACAGTAATCAAGATTGTGTTGTTTTGTAAAAAGATAGAAATGTGGATCAATAAGACAGGACAGAGAGTCAAGTAATAGGCCCACAAAAATATACTCGATTGGGTTTGACAAAGATGCAAAGGCAGCTTGATAAAACAAGAGAATTATTTGAAAACAATTTCTAGAATAATTGGACATCCATATGAAGAATATATTTAGACACATACCTTATACCTCATAAAAAGTATCTAAAAATTGATTGCAGACTTAAAATCATAAAACTGTAAAAGTCATAGGATAAAACATAGAGAATATATTCTTATACTTGAGATAGAAAAATAGTTCTTAGATGTGACATAAACAAATACAATTTATAAAACTAAACAATGGATGATTTGGACCTCATCAAAATGTAAAAGTTTTTCTCTGCAAAAGACATTGTTAAGAGAATTACATGCACCATCCCAAGACTGAACCAGGAAGAACTTGAATCCCTGAATAGAGCAATAACTAGTTCTGAAATTCAGGCAGTGTTAAATAGCTTACCAACCAAAAATATTCCAGGACCAGACGGATTAACAACTGAATTCTACCAGAGGTACAAAGAAGAGCTGGTACCGTTTCTACTGAAACTATTCCAAACAATGGAAAAGGAGAGGCTCCTCCCTAACTCATTGTATGAGGCCAGCATTATACTGATACCAAAACCTGGCAGAGATACAACAAAAAAAGAAAACTTCAGGCCAGTATCCCAGTTGAACATCGATGCAAAAATCCTCAATAAATTACTGGCAAACCAAATCCAGCAGCACATCAAAATGCTTATCCTCCACAATCACTTTGGCTTCATCCCTGGGATGCAAGGCTGGTTTAGCATACACACATCAATAAATGTGATTCTTCACATAAAGAAATAAAGACAAAAAACACATGATTATCTCAATAGAAGCAGAAAAGCCTTTGCAAAAATTCAATATCCCATCATGCTAAAAACTCTCAATAAATTAGGTATTGAAGGAACGTACCTCAAAAATAAAAAGAGCCATATATGACAAACCCACAGTCAATAGGATACCTAATGGGCAAAAGCTGGAGGCATTCCTCTTGAAAACTGGCACAAGACAAAGATACCCTCTCCCACCACTCCTATTCAACACAGTATTGGAAGTTCTGGCCAGGGAAATCAGGCAAGAGAAAGAAATAAAGGGTATTTGAATAGGAAGAGAGAAAGTCAAATTATCTTTGTTTGAAAATGACATAATCCTATATCTAGAAAACTTCATTGTTTCAGCCCCAAGGCTTCTTTTTTTTATTTTTATTTTTATTTTTTATTTTTATTTTTAGAGATGGAGTCTCTCTCTGTCGCCCAGGCTGGAGTGCAGTGGCACAATCTCGGCTCACTGCAAGCTCCGCCTCCCAGGTTCACGCCATTCTCCTGCCTCAGCCTCCCGAGTAGCTAGGATTATAGGCGCCTGCCACCATGCCCAGCTGATTTTTTGTATTTTTAGTAGAGATGGGGTTTCACTGTGTTAGCCAGGATGGTCTGGATCTCCTGACCTTGTGATCCGCCCGCCTCAGGCTCCCAAAGTGCTGGGATTACAGGCTTGAGCCACCGCGCCCGGCCGCCCCAAAGCTTCTTAAGCTGATAAGCAACTTCAGCAAAGTCTCAAGATACAAAAATCAATGTACAAAAAATCGCTAACATTCCTATACACAAACAACAGGCAAGCAGAGAGCCAAATCTTGAATGCACTCCGACTCACAATTGCTACAAGAAGAACAAAATATTTAGGAATACGTCCAACAAAGAAAGTGAAGAATCTCTTTAAGGAGAACTACACACCACTGCTCAAAGCAATCAGAGATGACACAAACAAATGAAAACATATTCCATGCTCATGGATAGGAAGAATCAATATCATGAAAATGGCCATACTGCCCCAAAGTAATTTATAGATTCAATGCTATTCCACTAAATTGCCACTGACATTCTTCATAGAATTAGAAAAAAAAACTATTTTGAAATGTGTATGGAACCAAAAAGAGCCTGAATAGCCAAGACAATCCTCAGCAAAAAGAACAAATCTGGAGGTACCACACTACCTGATTTCAAAATATACTACAGGGACACAGTAAGAAAAACAGCATGGTACTGGCACAAAAACAAGCACACATACACCAATGGAACAGAGTAGAGAACTCAGAAATAAGACCACACACCAACACTCATCTGATTTTCGATAAATCTGAAAAAATCAAGCAATGGGGAAAGAATTCCCTATTTAATAAATGGTGCTGGGAAAACTGGCTAGCCATATGCAGAAAATTGAAACTGGACCCCTTCTTTACACTGTATTCAAAAATCAACTCAAGATGGATTAAAGACTTAAATGTAAAACCCTAAGCTGTAGAAAAAAATGTAGGCAATACCATTCAGGACATAGGCACAGGCAAAGATTTCATGATGAAAACACCAAAAGCAATTGCAGCAAAAGCAAAAATTGACAAATGGGATCTAGCTAAACTAAAGAGCTTCTGCACAGCAAAAGAAACTATCATCAGAGTGAACAGACAACCTACAGAAAGGGAGAAATTTTTTGCAATCTATCCATTTGACAAAAGTCTAACATTCAGAATCTACGAGGAACTTAAGCACATTTACTAGAGAAAAACGAAATTAAAACACATTAAAAAGTGGACACAGGACTTGAACAGACACTTCTCCAAAGAAGACATTCATGTATCCAACAAACATGAAAAAAAGCTCAACATCACTGATCATTAGAGAAATCCAAATCCAAACCACAGTGAGATACCATCTCATGCTAGTCAGAAAGGCGATTAATAAAAAGTCCAGAAACAATAGATGGTGGCGAGGTTGCAAAGAAAAAGGAATGCTTTTACACCGTTGATTGGAGTGTAAATTAGTTCAACCATTGTGTAAGACAGTGTGGTGATTCCTCAAAGACCTAGAAGCAGAAATACCATTTGACCCAGCAAACCCATTACTGGATATATACCCAAAGGAGTATAAATCATTCTGTTATAAAGATACATGCCTATGTATTCTCACTGCAACACTATTTACAATAGTAAAGACACTGAATCAGTCTTAATTCCCATCAATGGTAGACTGGATTAAGAAAATGTGGTACACAAACACCATGGAATAGTATGCAGCCAGAAAAATGAATGAGATCATGTCCTTTGCAGGGACATGGATGGAACTGGAAGAAATTTTCCTCAGCAAACTAACGCAGGAACAGAAAACCAAACACTGCATGTTCTTACTTATAAATGGGAGCTGAATGATGAGAACAGAAAGACACATCGTGGGGAACAACACACACTGGGACCTGTCGGGGTCCACAATGGCACACATTTACCTATGTAACAAGCCTCCACATCCTGCACATGTACCTCGGAAATTAAAATTAAAGTTAAAGAAAAAACAGACAATGAAAAAAGCAAAGTACCGAATTTAAAAAAAATGGAAAATCACATAGCCTTCAAAAACCTTTTCAGAATATTTTCAAAACTCTCAATTCTCAGCAATAACAAAACTAGTGAGTCAATTTAAACATGGGCAAAATATATGAGCAGACGCTTAACCAAAAATAAATACACATGGCAAATAAATGCATAAAAAGATATACAATGGCATTAGATTAAAAACATAATGAGATACCACTACATACCTATTAGAATTGGTGAAATTTACAAAAATAATTAACAATCACCAGTGCTAACAAACATGCAAAGTTACAGGAATGTTTATACATTGGTGGGCAGAATATAAAAGGATACAGTTCCTCTGATAAACAATTTCAAAATTTCATATATATTTGAAGATACACTTAGTGTATAACCAAGCAATCCCACTTCTAGGTCTCTACCATAGAAAATGAAAACTTACATCTATACAAATGTTTGTACATGAATGTTTGTAGCAGAATTTTTATAATTGCCCCAAATTTAAAACAATTTAAATACTGTGTACATAAACGTATATAACGATTTTATTCATAACTTCCAAAAACTGAAAATAAGTAAGAAATCCTTCAACAATTTAATTCATGGACAAATTATGGTACATCCATGCAATGGAATACTATGTAGTCACAAAAAGAATTAACTCTTAATACATTCCATGACATGGATAAATTATGCACTACCATGAATAAAAGAAGCTTCTTTCAAAATATTACATACGATTTCATTTCTTTACCATTCTGGAAAATATTTAAAAAATATACATAGGAATGGAAAACAGAGTAGGGCTTATCAGATATTAGGGACAGAGGAAGGGTTTGACCTCAGAGGGATAGCATAAGCAGATTTTTTAGGGTGAATGAAATTATTCTGTGTCATTTTTGTCATTTGTCATTACACATATGCATGCAAGTACCAAAACTCATATAACTTTACATTGAAATTATACAATGTATTGCATATAAATGTTTGAAAAAATTTAAAAAACTAAGTGCAAAAGAAGCCACTGTGTATTGTATTCATCCTATTGATTTTGGCTGTCTAGGCAATTTGGGCAAATCATTCTGTGAACACCTAAAAATCTTAGACAGAATATAAAAACTATCACTTAAAATAATTGGGGGAGGATAGAACAAGGCAGTGAGAAATTACAGTGCAAAGATGTGAAAGCAGAAAAAAATCAGAAAAGTGAAACAAGTTTTGGAGCCTATTTTTTCCCCTAAGAGAAATTGCTGAGTCTTAAGAGGCTGTGAAGAAGCTGGAAAGCTGACCCATACTTCTAAAAATTTCACATTGATTTGGATTGGGATGCAAAAGAGCTAAACTGTAGGAGAAGAGTGAATAGAAATTTGATTAGATATTTATGTGACTAAAGCTTATCTGTGACTCTTTTTTTATCCTTTTAATTATATTAGTCTGGTTTGCTAGTGTCCCTAGCCTCTTCCAATCAATTCTAATCAGTCATATGAAAACAGAAGATGACATGACAAAACATTAAGTGAAATAACAATTAATAGAAACAGTCACAGAGGGCATCCAACTAACAGAATTATGAGAGAGAAACTTTAATATAATTTTGTTCAATATGCTCAAGGAAACTAAAAACAAATTTTAAATTTTAGCAAAGAACCAGAAAATATACAAATAAAAATAGTAAAACTAAAAATAATTAAAAAGGTAAAAAGCTCAGTTGATTTGTTTTGAAAACAGATAAAGCTGAAAGAGTATACCTACCAGTTTAGAATCTAAATCCATATATTATAACCTACAAGAATATCTTTAAAAAAGGATAATTGTATATTTTCACTTATAAGTGTGAGCTAAATATTGGGTACACACAGACATAAAATGAGAAAAATAGACACTGGGGGCAACTAGTGTGGGGAAAGAGGATGGGGGAAGAGTTGAAAAACTACCTACTAGGTATTATGTTTACTACCGGGGTGACAGGATCAATTGTATCCCAAACCTCAACATCACCAAATACACTGATGTAACAAACCTGCACATGTACCCCAAATTTAAAATAAAATATGAAAAAATGCAAAGTAGGTTGCATATTAAAATAAATAAAGAGTAACTAATAAATTTTATAAATTACAAACAGAAAATTCTTCATCCACAGATATGAATGAGAGGAAATGATAAAATATGTTTATGTTCATCAGGTAGAAGAAACATTATAATATGGTTTGGATCTGTGATTCTTATTCAGAATAAGAGAAAAATATCATTAGCATTAACCTTTAAAAATCAAGTTTGAGTGTTAGTATTTTTAGAGTAAACACTATAATACGAGGAAAAAGTGTTTAACTATCAAGCTTTTAGAAGAAGAGTGGGATGATAGCAAAAAACATCATTCCAAAGGCAATAAATAAGAAGCAAATGAACATAAGTCATGCAGTTAAAATTAAAAGCAAAGAGTAAAATGTTATATTTAAGTACCAATACAGGAGGTCCCTCTTACCTGTGGTTATCCACTGTCAACTGCAATCCAAATATGTTAAATAGGAAATTCCAGAAATAAAGATTTCATATGTTTTAAACTGTGTACCATTCTGAGTAACATGATGAAATTTTATGCCATCTCACTCTATCCCATCTGGGACCTGAATCATCCCTTTTTCTGGTATATCTACGGTTTAAGCTGTTTGTTACTTTGTAGACATCACCATTATCCAATTGAATATGGCAGTAATGCCATGCTTGTGTTTCCTTGAACAAAGCATATGGACCCTAAGAATAAGAGTAGTGATGCTGGTTGTTTGGATATGACAAGGAGAAGCCATACAGTGCTTCCTTTAATGGAAAGATGAACATTCTCAAGTTAGTAAGAAAAAGAAAAGAAATCCTATGCTAAGTTTACTAAGATTTACATAAGGATAAATCTTCCATTTGTGTAATAGTAAAGATGAAAAAAGAAATTTATGCTAGTTCTTCTATTGCACCTCAAACTGGAAATATTACAACTACAGCACAATAGTTTATTTTGTGTTTAAATATTAAGCATGTAATATCATTTTAAAAACATAGAAATCATACAGCATATGCTCTTTGATCACAGTACAATTAAACTAGAAATCAGTAACAAAATGATTGTGAATAAAAGCCCATATTTTTATATTACAAAAATAGTCTACTAAATAGCTCATTGATCAAAGAAGAAATGACATAAAATTTTAAATATTTTAAACTGAATTTACTGAAAATACTAAGTACAGAAGTTGTAGAAGGCAGCAAAGTTCATACATAGAAGATAATTTGTAGTATTAACAGATATTATAATAAAAAGACTGAAATCAATGAGATAATACATTTCAAATAATAGACAAAAACAGCAACTTAAACCTAAGAAAGTAGAAGGGAGGAATCATAAAGGTAATAATGGAAACTATTGCAATATAAAACAAGCACATAGAGATCATCCAACCCAAATTTTCCTTTTTTGAAAAGATTAAAGTTGATAAATTTCTCAACAAAGACAGAAAATATTTAATCAAGAGTGTCAGAAAAAAAGGTACATCATTAGAGATTCAACAGATATTTAAATATAAGAGAATATTATGAGAAATCTTCATGTTAATAAATTTGTAAATTACTTAAAAAATGAGAAATTCATAGAGAAAGGCAGTTTATCAAATGTGACTTAACAAAAAGAAACTTGAATATTTCTATATTTAATGAAGAAATTAAATATGTAAGTAAAATGCTTTCTACAAAAAAATTCTAGCTTCAGGTTGTTTGACCAGTGAATTCCATTAAGTATAAGAAGAGGGCATCAGATAAATATTACATAAAATTTTCCAGAAAACAGAAAAAAATAAAATATTTTCCAAATAGTTTTAGGAGGTCAGCATATTATTTTGTCCAGAGCATCACAAAGCCATTATCATTGAACTAAAATACAGACAATACTCTCTCATACACATAAATGAAAAGAAGCCCTAAACAAATTGTTTGCATATGGATCAATCAATATGAAACCTATTGCAATATTGGTAAAAATCTAGAAATTGCATGGCTGGCCTAATCTTTGTAATGTAATGTAACAAATCATTTAAAAATTAATAGGGAAAATTAAGCAGTAATCTCAATAGATGTAAAAAATATGTGATAGCATTAAACATCAATTCATAAAAAATGCTTAGTGAACTAAGATGAAAAGGGAACTTTGTTAATGTAAGTGATGTTTACAAAAATTCTACAGCAACACCTCACAAAATGTTGATCTATTGTAAGCTTTCCGCTGACATTGAACAAGAATCACTCCTACTACTTTACATCAATATTTTACTAGAGATCCTAGCCAGTGTAACAAGACTAAACAAAAAAATGAAAGTTAGGAACATTGTATCACAGTAACAAATCTATAAATGTTAAAATATATCATGATTGAATATGGGGAAAAAAGAATCTTCAGGTAAATTATGAAAAATAATGTGAGTACCAAAGTTGCTGAATATATCTATCTATGCATTATTTCTATATATTAGTGGAAAGCATTTAGAAAAATGGATAAAGGATACTATTTCCAATAGAAATAAAAGCCATGAAATATCTAGAAATTACTAAAAGGGGTGTAATACTTTCACATTAAAAACTACAAAACATTTGAAAGGGATTTAAGAGCATATAAATAATGAATAGATGTATCATGTTCATTATTTGTAAATGAGACAGTTAGGAGTATCAGCTCTTTGGAAGTTAAGAAATAAGCTGGAGGAATTACCCAACAGATATGAAGACTTATGATAAACGTACATAAATTAATATAAATACACCAGTTAAGAGAATAGAGTCCTGTATAGTGTGATAGGAATGCCATAGAAAAAGACAAGCTGTGTGGCTTCAACAATGGACATTTATTTTCTCACAGTTCGGGGGGCTGGAAGTCCAAGATCAAGATGTCAGCAATTTTTTGTGTTTTTTTTTCCCTGAGGCCTCTCTGGATTGCAGATGGCATTTTGCTGTGTTCTCACATGGCATTTTCTCTGTGTGTGTGCACTGCTGATGTGTCTCCCACTTTTTATAAGGACACGGATACTTTATAATATCCTAAATGTCTATCATCAGGTGAATGGATAAATAAATTATAATATATCATAACAAGAACAATACTTAGCAATAAATGAAGAAATAAACTACTGATACATGCAAGAACACGGATGAATTTTACAGCTGTAGTAATGAAAGAAACAAGCCAGACACCAAACAGTGCATACTGCATGATTCTGACACGAGAGTGCTGGGAAGGGAAGAGCATAGTCCCTTTAAATGACACAGAAGGTGGGAAGGGAAGTGCCAGGTAGAGAAAGGCAGGTCACTGCCTAGGGCTCCAGCCCCACGGACCTAGGTGAGGACGGGCATTTCCTGCCGAAATGTTGCATTTCCCAAGACCACCCTGGCCTGCCATGCCCCCATCCTGAGCCTATAAAAACCGGAGACTCTAGTGGGCAGACACAAGTGACCACATGTTGAGAGGAGCACATCAGTGGAAGAAGACGCAAGTGGCTGGTCGTCAAGAGGACGTCAAGAGGAGCACTCTGGCAGAAGAGCGCTCTGACAGGCACCTGCTCGCCAGCAGGCAGGCCATTGACGGGTGGGACAAGGGTGAGTTTGGCCGGGGCAGTCGGAGGAGAGCCGGGGCCACCAAGTGGCCCAACTCCATGGGAAAACCACCTTCCTTCTGGCTCCCCCATCAGCGCAGAGCTACTTCCACTCAATAAAACTTCGCACTAATTCTCCAAGCCCCTGTGTGATCCAATTATTCCGGTACACCAAGGCAAGAAACCTCAGGACACAGAAACCTTCTGTCCTTGTGATAAGGAAGGGGGTCTAATTCAGCTGGTTAACACAAGCTACCCATAGATGGCAAACTAAAACGGCACCCTCTAACACACGCCCACTGGGGCTTCAGGAACTGTAAACATTCACCCCTAGACACTGCTGTGGGGTTGGAACCCCACGGCCTGCCCATCTGTATGCTCCCCTAGAGGTTTGAACAGCAGGGTATTGAAGAAGCAAGCCACACCCCCATTGCACACCCTGTGTGGAGGACAAGGGAACCTTTCCCATTTCAATTCCATGTATATTTATTTCAGAAATAGATGAAGCACTCCTTGTTGAAAACAATCAAAATCTTGCTTCTGAGAAAGATGTATTTACTTACGTTGGGTACAGGAATTTTCTTGTTTCATAATATGAACATTTAATTTCAATGATATATAGAGTGTTGGGTTTATTTGTATTTGATATATTTGTATTTAGTGTATTGTATTTAGTGTATACATTTGTCAAGACTTAACTGTACATTTAAATTTATGCATTTTGTTGTATGAAAATTATTCTTTAGTAAAATACTTATAAATATTATCAGAAAAAAATGACTTGTGAGTAATCAACTGGATTTGCCTAGATATTTCACTTTTTAAAACAAAATAATTATAATTTTAATTTCTTAGTGTATTTTTATGTATCAGAGAGTTTAACTACTTCATATATATAAATTAATTTGATCCTCATATCTAACCTATGAAATAAATATTAGTATCAACATTTTACATATTAGAAAACTAAGGCACAACTTTAAGTAACTTTTTCAAAGTTGCATAACAAGTGAGTGAAAGAGCTGAGATTCAAATCCAGGCAGACTGGCTCCAAAGTCCATGTTCTTAATAATTGTCTTAAAATTAGTTACTTTAAGCAGAACTATCATACATATTATGAACATTTAAAGCTTCCTACTTATGTAATTACATTTTAAAAGCAATCATACTATATCTGCTGGCTTTATAAAGTATTAACTTTGCCATATACTACAACTATTTCAACAAAAATTTTTGGCATCAATATTACAAAGACACAGTCAGCTCCAATTTGGAGGTACAGTCATACTATTTCTTTCAACAAAATGATATCTTTTTAACATTTTAAATAAAATTAAATCCAATGAAGACAGATGCCAAAAAAAAAGACTTCTATGCATCAAGATAATAGCAAAGTTCATCAATAAAACAATCTGCAAATCTCCCATTGAAGGGGCAAATAGCTTAAGTAGTCATTGCATAAACTCCTTATGCTTATATCAATTACAAATGTTAACTAATGTTATCAATACAAATGTAAATTTTTTCTTCTATTAGTCTGTTAATAAATGTACTGAAAACAAAATTAGACAAAAATGTAATAAATATTATAAAATGTTTCATTTGAATTTGTTTGACCAACATAGTAAGATTTTCATTGCATAAAATAGCACAGGAAAGACAGAACACTTGTTGATTAAGAGAAATTTTCAGGTTTTATTTTCTAAATTTAGCCTTAAACAAAGTTATTGAGAATATGTACATAATAAATTTTCTTTATATTTTAATTCATTTGTCTATTCAACAAGTATTTATTGATTATCTATTAACTGTTAGGCGGTACTAAATAAAACTATCAATTTGTAGATTAAAAATATTCAGATATTAGCAATTTTTTCTGGTCCAACCTAATACATAGTATTAAGCTAGGTACTAAGTATGATTCAGATTGAAGAATACAGTACATTTTTTTCTGGCCTCATTGGGTGATTCAAGGCTTGCATCACTACATAAGTGAGATAACAAGCCATAGTAATTTGTACTAAAGAGCCAAAATACTATGGGATTTTAGAAAAGGAGAAAATTAATATGGTCTGGAATGCATAGACAGATGGAATTTAACACTTCAATACATTTCTGTTGAGGCAGCTAAATAGTCATTTGAAAATATGATGCATCTGTGAAATGTATGGATACTACTCTACATGATTTTTAAATTTTGGACAGGTTTTTTTTTTGACTTTTATTTTAAGTTCAGGAGTACAAGCACAGGTTTGTTACATTGGTAAACTTGTGTCAGGGGGTTTGTTGTACAAATTGTCATCACCCAGGTGTCTGGTACCCAGTAGTTATTTTTTTCTGATCATCTCCCTCCTCCAACCCTCCACCCTCTGAAAGGCCCCAGTGTGTGGTGTTCCCATCTATATATCCATGTGTTCTCATCATTTAGCTCCCACTTATAAGTGAGATCATGTGGAATTGGGTTTTCTGTTCCTCTGTGAGTTTGCTAAGGATAATGGCCTCCTGCTCCAACCACATCTCTGTAAACAACATAATCTTATTTTTTATGGCTGTATAATATTCCGTGGTGTACATGCACCACATTTTCTTTACCCAGTCTTTCACTGATGGGCATTTAGGTTGATTCCATGTCTTTGCTATTGTGAATAGTGCTGCAACGAACATAAGCATGCATGTGTCTGTATAATAGAACAGTTTGTATTCCTTTGGGTATATACCCAGTAATGGGATTGCTGGATAGTATAGCATTTCTGTCTTTAAGTCTTTGAGGAATTGCCACACTGTCTTCCACAATGGTTGAACTAATTTACACTACCATCAACAGTGTATAAGCGTTCCTTTTTCTGTGTAACCTCACCAGCATCTGTTATTTTTTTACTTTTTAATAATAGCCATTCTGACTAGTGTGAGATGGTATCTCATGGTTTTTATTTGCATTTCTCTAATGATCAGTGATGATGAGCTTTTTTTCATATTATTGTTGGCCTCATGTACGTCTTATTTAGAAAGGTGTGGGTTCGTTTCCTTTGTCCACTTCTTAATGGGGTTGTTTGTTTTTTATTCTTATAAATTTCTTTAAGTTTCTTATAGATGCTGGATATTAGACCTTTGTTGGATGCATAGTTTGCAAAAATTTTCTCCCATTCTGTAGGTTTTCTGTTTACTCTGTTGACAGTTTATTCTGCTGTGCAGAAGGATTTTAGTTTAATTAGATCACATATGTTAATTTTTGCTTTTGTTGCAATTGTTTTTGTGTCTTCATCATGAAATCTCTGCCGGTGCTCAATGGATGCAGAAAAGGCTTTCAATAAAATTTAACATCCATTCATGTTAACAACTCTATATTATTGTAATCTTAACACTGGAAACATCTGTAGATTTATTGTCCTTTTTTTCCTGTGGTCATATAGCTATTTAATACTATAATCAAAATGAATACATTATTTGCATTATTATTATTTTCCACTGGGTTCAAAACGAATTATGAAACAACACAGCATTTATAAGACTATCTTTGTACTCCCCAAAATTTTGTATCACAGCACCTAGCAATGTTTGGGTTACTAAATAAATAGTTACTGATCTGAAATAAAATGTCATGATCATATAATTGTAGAAAAATTCCCTCATGGCTTCAATAGTAATGCCTCATTTTATAAATAAAAGGAGATATGCCAAATTGATGAAACAGAGAAATACACATTTTCTTTATTGTGCAATATATTTTGATATTTATGCAGGACCCCTAAAGCTCAACCTACAAATCATAATCAAGATGTAATAAGCTGCAATACTATTAATAATTAACTTCTGACAAGAAATAAGATTATTTCATTAGAAAAATAAAAACTTCTTTGAAAGTTTTTTTCCATTGATGGACATTAGAAAGTATATTTTTGAAAAAAAATAGAAAACTTTAAAGTAAAATTTTTCCATCATGAAAAACAAAATGTTATTGTTATATTGGTGACTCCAGCTTTGAAGTAAGCAAAGGATGGCAAAGAACACAAGCTCAATGGAATTCTGATGTTAGAGGATTAAGATAAGTTACTATTATTACTAGTTTCCACGGTGGTATATTACTGAAATGTATTTTTAAGAAGTTCTGAAAATCATTTTATCCACAGCTAGCCAGGAGACAAATAATCTGCAAACTCACTCAAATTTGGCTATAGTTAGAAAATTAATTTCAACTTCTTCCTAAGGAACTGTGTACAGGAAAGCATGCTTCAAACTTACTATTTCTTTGGAGCCCAGGGGCTTTCCCTAAAAATTTGGGGGACAGATACTTCTTAATATATTAAAAAACACTTTTTTCTATTCATTGCAACTGGCTACCTCTATGTATTATCAGTTCTACCTGTCATTTTTCTTAATTTTAATTTTATGCAATTACACTGACACTATAATATTATCTATGGGTTCAACATAAGACTATTAAGACAGTTCTGTGTATAAGTCATCTAAATAGATGTCTGTCATCTGTTCTAGTTTGAAAGGCATGCAAAAAAGAATATTGAGAAGTCACCTTTGGAACCCCATTCCAGTGTCTAATCACCCTTTATAGACACATTTTTCATGACTCCCTGTACTCAAAGTCAAAACAGAGCTTTATGTCTTCCTTCACCATAAAATGAATCCTGTGACAAGTTTCCAACCAAAGATTTTAATCATTAAATCCACACTATACTTGGAGCCTTACAATTTTCTTACAGATTAATTTCAACGGTTTTTTACAACAAGCATCATATCATTATATTAGGTTGAAAACTAGATTAATTAGGCAAATAAAACACTGGAGTCCCCAGATTTTTCTGTATAACCTGTAGATAAAAAGTGTTCTGAGGCTGGGCACAGTGGCTCACTCCTGTAATCCCAGCAATTTGGGAGGCCAAGGTGGGCAGATCACCTAAGGTCAGGAGTTCAAGACCAGCCTGGCCAATATGGCAAACCCTGTCTCTACTAAAAATACAAAAATTAGGTGGGGTGCGGTGGCTCACACCTGTAATCCTAGCACTTTGGGAGGCTGAGGTGGGTGGATCACGAGGTCAGGAGTTCAAGACTAGCCTGGCCAACACGGTGAAACCCTGTGTCTACTAAAAATACAAAAATTAGCCAGGTGTGGTGGCCCGTGCCTGTAATCCCAGCTACTCAGGAGGCTGAGGCAGGAGGATCTCTTGAACCTAGGAGGCAGAGGTTGCAGTGAGCTGAGATTGGCCCACTGCACTGCACTCCAGCCTGGGCAACAGAGTGAGACTGTCTCGAATATATATACATATATTTTGGTGTACCCACTCTTCCACTATGCAGATGATAAAACATTTGGTCTACTCTACAACTGCTGTACACTTTTAAATGCTATAGTCTACTTCATAGCTTATATATTCCACTGAACTTTTCGCTTAAGACTCCAATAAATCTCCACAATAAATCTCAAGGGAGGAGCCACTTAAAACAGACTAAGGCTTTCTAACCATCCTAAGGACAAACTCTTTTTTTTTTTTTTTTTTTTTATCTTTGAGACAGAGTCTTGCTCTGTCACCCAGGCTAGAGTGCAGTGGTGGGACTTGGCTCACTGCAACCTCCGCCTCCGGGGTTCACACCATTCTCCTGCCTTAGCCTCCCAAGTAGCTGGGACTATAGGCACCCGCCACCACGCCCGGCTAATTTTTGTATTTTTATTAGAGACGGGGTTTCACTATATTGGTCAGGCTGGTCTCGAACTCCTGACCTCTTGATCCACCCGCCTCGGCCTCCCAAAATGCTGGGATTACAGGCGTGAGCCACAGTGCCCGGCCAGGACAAACTCTTAATGCCATGAGCAGTTCATGGGAAATCCTAAATTGCAGAATTAATCTAGCAGTAGGGAAATGTGGGACCTTGTTCTGATCCACGACCACTCTGGAAAAAATCAACAGAGGATTGTGTCATTGCCAAGTAAATTTGAATGCTCAAGGAAGACATTAGAACTAATTCGTCCAGCTGGAATATCTTTGCACATTATCTAAGCAGACATATAGAATACCTTGGGGCCTAGATAATTGTTTTAGATCAGTTCATCTTTTGACCCACAACCTCCAGAGCTTGTATTAAGGTTTGGCTTGGATTGATAAAGCTCAGCATGAAATCAAATAACTGGTAAGGAGTATAAAATCTATGTTAATATTTTAATCTTAAAATAACTAATACATTTCTTCAACAGCCCTGAGTTCTAGAAAAGAACCAGAATTGTTAACAGAATAGTAAGTACCTTGAGGAAAGAATGATCAAATAGCTCTTATGTTCCATCACTTTATTAAGTTAAAAAATATATATGTGTAACATGTTTATCTGTTTTAAAATGTTACGACAGTATTAAAGTAGGTAGTTAGACACACATAAGCAAGACAGAAGAGGGCCCCCCAGGAATGTCAGTCAACCATTAGATAATGGTCAGGCAGTTGTTAAACTGTCTCTCTAAAATAATAATTGGTCGCAGCCGGCGCCAAGGAAAGGCAAGCTCCTAACAGAAAACACCTGAAGGGGCTGATCAGCAGCCTCCTGATAAAATCTCAGGAATTGTGCAAGTGAGCTCAAGCACAGCACTAAGACGCAAAATGGCAGAGTTTAACTGGTATGTGACCTTCCTCTAGGAACATTCGACTGGTAAGAAAAAACACCTCAAATGAGCATATGCACAGCTTCAGTAAACACCCTGCGCATACAGACCCTCCCGAGTGCTGGCAGGCCACTGTGCATATGGACAGCCCATTTCAAGGAAAAATCAAGGGAGAAGAATCGGAAACCTTGGAACCATGCCTATGTATAAAAACATCAAGTCGGCCGGGCGCGGTGGCTCACGCCTGTAATCCTAGCATTTTGTGAGGTCGAGGGGGCGGATTGCCTGAGCTCGGGAGTTCTAGACCAGCCTGGGCAACACGGTGAAACGCCGTCTCTACTAAAAAAAAAAAAAAAAAAAAAAAATTAGCCGGGCGTGGTGTCGTGCTCCTGTAGTCCCAGCTACTCGGGAGGCTGAGGCAGGAGAATTGCTTGAACCCGGGAGGCGGAAGTTGCAGTAAGCTGAGATTGCATCACTGCACTCCAGCCTGGGAGACAGTGAGACTCCGTCTCCAAAAAAAAAAAGAAAAAAAAAAAAAAACACCAGATGAAGCGCTTTGATCTATCAAGTCGCGAGCTTGGCCTTGGCCCTTTTCCAAGTGTACTTTCCTTCCTTTGTTCCTGCTCTACAACTTTTAAAATAAACTTTCACTCCTGCTCTAAAACTTGCCTCAGCCTCTCTTTCTGCTTTATGCACCTCAGCCAATTTATTTTCTCCAAGGAGGCAAGAATCGAGTTGCTGCAGACTTGTACAGATTCATCACTGCTAACAACAGTACTAAGAAGGTAAAATAACTCTGCGGAAGTGTGTCTTCCTCTGAGTAGTTCATTCAGTACTTGATAAGCAAATATACTAAGCTCTATTTAATTGAGTTTAAAAAACTGTAAGTTACATTAATATAATACATATATGGCATTATATTATGAATCTAGAAATACAAGCAAAGCTCTAGCACATTTCCCCCAGAATTTAATTAGATAAAACTCTTTGTTGAGTCAACTCTTTGCTTTTCTCAGTCTAATTGAATGAACATTTTCATCTGTGAACTAAACTAGAAACGTAACTAAAGTTTCTGTTGAAACCTAATTCTGAATAAATGTAATATCAATACTGGTGTCTTCTGTTTCCAAACTACATCTAAATACTCATGAACTTCCTATGCATATAATTTTGTTTCTTGGCCAATCAACCCTAAAAGTTTATTTTGAAAAGTTACTAAATAAAACGTGGAATTTCTCTATTAAAATGAAGTATTATATAAACCAATAAGAATTCTTTTTGACAAAACAATTAATTCATTGAGTATAAAAATATTATGCAGTGACTAAATGCCAGCAGTTACATCTTTACACAAGCAGGGAATGCACTAGCCAAAAAAGCACACCCTCAATTATTTTTTTTTCCCCCCAGCAAGTAGCTTCTCTGAGGAGGAGAACAAGGTAAAAGAGGCAGTTGGTACAAACTGCAGGTGGCTGGCTGCTGAGGGAGAGGTGTCATTTGGGAAGCACAGCAGGTGGCCTAAACTGAGAAGAAGATGACATTTAGAGACAGCAGCAGGTGTTTGCTATGAGGGAGAAGGACCTCTCTCCAAAGTTGTCAATGATTGCATTCGTTCATTTCTGCTGCAATAATCTGGTATTTGGCATTTAAACTGACAGCACCAGATATGCCTAAAAATAATTATGAATCCAAACCTTTTGCTGGCTAAAAAAATATTACAAAGGCATTATTTCTGCTTATGATTGAATCAAAATACAAACAATTGACAAAATGTTAAAGATAGCATTATAGTTTTTTCAATTACATTTTTAAAAAGCAAGATTTTGAATATTTTAAGCAGATCAAAATTTTTGAATATAAAAGATATAGTCATAAATTTAATTCATCATTAAGAGTAGTAAAGTAGAAAGCTAATTGTTACTCAAATTGGTTTTTAAATGAATAGATTCCCAGACACTATGATCATTTTCATGGTGTAGAAGTTACCAATGCCAAAAGTTATCTACTTATCATTTAAAAGTAGAATGTATAAAGAGGAGACTTTATCACGCTTAAACCAAAAAAGAGATTCAATTATTGCAAGTTTGCATATGAGAATTATTAAGACAATTCAAGTAGCTTGCATGAACAATGCTAGAGATTTGGGAGGCCTAAAGATTAAAAGCTTCCCGGGAAACAAGAATAAAAGTGACGACATTGGCTGTGTTCTATTTTCAGATTCTAAAATTCATTACATTTGTAGAATGATCATAGAACAATCAAAAGTCCATAAAATACTGTGAGTATGCCCCATAACTTTGAGAACTCATTTCTGGACAATTATTTATTCTATCCAACTTGTATTCTTTTTTCAGCTTTGGTCTGCTTGTAAAACTCACAAATGGCAATGGGACCATGCTAGTGCAATCACAAAGAGAAGCCCTGCCAATCATCCACTTTCCTACTCTCCATAAGCAGAGACTCTGTGCAGAAATTCCAGCACGCAGAAGCAGAGGTCAGTCTGGGCTGTTTATAAATATGTATCTTGTAATCACTAAATATAAAGGGGCGATGTTTTGAAGTTTTCGCCAGAGGAACCAGCAGCATTTCTGGATAACATTTTTCACCAGAGTGTGCAACTATTAATCGGTTCGTATAAAATAAAAAACAGAAATTGGAGGAAGCAGGAATATGATAAAAGGAAAGGGAGTGAGAGACAAAGGGTAATATGATACAGTAAATAATTTTTGATGTCTTAAATACTCATTCTGCCCAAATAAATTGTGTCTAAAGTGGTGGTTCAATCAAGCAAGTTGGGTTAAACCATCTAAAACATCAACAACATTAGTAGCAAAGATGACACTTGTTTATAACCATGATGTGGATATAGATGCTGTGTTTTGTGTTTATGGTTAAACAGGAAAGTAGGAAAGTACGTGTAATGAGTCTGAAGCCCCTACTTTTACTAAAAGCTCTTACCATTTTTTTTCTCTCATAAGACAGACACTTACAATGAAAAATGTACACATTTCAATAGTCTTTCTTAGATAATTAAAGGTGACTTTTAAAGATATAAAATATATTTTAGGGTGTTAAATCTGCTGAGAGATTGCTAACGCAATAGAAAGAAATACTGTTCCTGAGATTCTGTTCTCAGAAGATGAAGAGCTTTAAGTGAACTTTTCAGTTGTTTTTACTCTGAGGGATTCTCCTCCTCAGTATGATTAATGCTTTCCACACTTGAGTAGAAATTCTCTTGGATGAAGCCTTTGATAACTATCGTTTGTAAACTTTCGTAAACTTGCCATGCACAAAATGGAATATGGGTTATCTAACTTGAATTGAGAATCCTTGTGAGCATGCCAATTGCTTCCTTTTCTCCAGAACAAAATGATATTTGTGTCATCATAGAAAAATATATTCTGAAGAAACTGTGTTTCTGGACTATATAAAGCACTACAATTAATACATAACATACAAACAAGCCACAGGCTCCAAATAAAGAAACAACTCTTTCTGATGGCTATATGTTCAAAAACAAAGCTCTTATTATTGGAAACAAATAATTGGGTCATGGTGAAGTCAATTCAATATTTCAGGCATGTTATCATTTACAAAGAGATTAATGTTTACCAGTATAAGAAATGGATATAGAAAATCAATTTCTGTGGAATAGTAGGAATGATAAGGAGTCTGGGGAAAAGAAATATTTAGTCTACAAAACAAATAAATTTAAAAAGTGATTCCAATCTTTAAATACAGTGATATCGGCAGTATTTGTAAAATTCAGATGTTGAAAAAGTGGGAAAGATAGGAGATGTACCCACTGAACACACCAAAAAGCAAATTCATTTGCACCAAAAGAGCAATCTCTAATTTAAATATGTATCTTAACCTTCCAAACAACTCCCTTGCAGATTAACCTTTCAAAAAACTCCCGTATGTATACACTAACTACTTGTTAGTTAAATTGCTTAACCTCTTTGCACTTCAATTTGCTCACCTGTGAAATGTAGGCAACAATAGTGTCCATATCATAATGTTACTGTGATGGTAAAGTGAGGTAATGCATACAAGAAGGTTAGTGCCTTAAACAAGTTAAATACTTGATACACATCAATTATTATTTTGTACAGGATGGGGTTATTGTTAAAAAGGGTATGTGAAAAGAAAATAGCATGCCTCAAAATAAAATCATATTAAATAGTAGAACATTTCATTTTATGCATGATGAGCTGACATGTTAATATAGAAAAATATCTTGCCTAGTTTGATTTTTATATAAGCTCAAAGTTATTCTAAATTTGCATAGTTTCTGTTTTTTGCTATGTAATCCTTAAAAATTAGTTAAAAATTGCAATTGTTATTCTGAATGGTTAAAGCTTAATATACTTAGATTGTCCATCTGTCTGATTTATCAGTATTAGATTTATCAATGATATTAGATTGTCAATATTCTGAATGATTTTAGGAATATCAAATACATTAAACATAATAACTACATTATAGTAATATCATCTTTTTTTGATAACCATCTTAAGTAATTTTGTGCCCCCTCTAATTCCAAAGATTAATTTTAGTAGATAGTAAGTGAGGAATGCCAGAATAGTTTACAGAGAGATCAGATTTTCTTAATTATGTATTTTTAGCTTTCTTATCTGGAATAAGTACTATTTAAATACTATGATAAAGGAATGGACATAAATATTTTACCTTTTAAATCAGAGTCTCTTCATCTATGCATTTTCTTCAATTGCAATTAAATCCTGAATCAAAAACAGAAATAAATTTTGAGCTACTCATTTGGGGAATTAAGAGACTGAAGAAAATCTCCATTAATCAGAGGTATAAGAAGTTCATGTCTTAAGTCAAATATACAAAGTCAAAACCATGACTACCTGGCAGCCTCACTTCAAAAATTCTGATCCTACCCCCAAACGTGTCTGTTCCATCTGTCTAGTCAAATGTGAAAACGATTATCTGAAGAAAAAAAGGCTGTTTCATAATTCCATACTCTTAGTACTATCAAGTTATTAGAAATATTTTAAGGAGACTAAAAGTTTTCATAAAATTGCTTCAATTTGCTTTTTCATTTCGTAAAATGAGACAAATGTCACCACCAACAGCTGACCATATATACTTGAAATGGGAAATTAACTCCAAAGTGTAGACTTAATTATTTGTGGCATTCTTTTATTTATGAGCTGCAGAGTAGACACCCTGTTATGTACATTGAAAAAATATTTGAACCAAAAAATAAGAAAAAGACAGGTAAAAATACACAAACATAAATTAGTTGTCTGCATATCTAAAGCTCTCCTAGCTGAAAATCTACCTTGCATTCAACTTTTGTATCATCTACTAAAAAGCCAGTATGTTTTCTTTAAACTACTTTTTAAGGATTACATAGCAAAAAATAAAAATTGTGCAAATTTAGAATAACTTTGAGCTTATATAAAAATCAAACTAGGTAAGGTCTTTTTCTATATTAGCATGTCAACTCATCATGCATAAAATGAAACGTTCTACTATTTAATATGATTTTACTTTGAGGCATGCTATTTTCTTTTCACATACACTTTTTAACAATAACCCTATCCTGTACAAAATAATAGTTGATATGTGTCAAGGACTTACCTTGTTTAAGGCACTAACCTTTTTGTTTGTATTACTTCACTTCACCTTTAGCAAAGTTATGATATAGACGCTAATGTTACCTGCCTTTCACAGGTGAGCAAATTGAAGTGCAATTGGTTATTTAATTATATGAAATATATTAGATATTCTTCCTGGTCAGTTCGTTAAAGTACAAGAAGCATTTATTCATAGGTTGAATAAATAGCTGTCGCTAGGTATAATTTGATAGATAAATTCTATCAAATGTATCACGCATTCTAATTTGTCTGCAGTAAAGTCTGAAATTTCATTGAAATCGCATTGCAGGGTTAAAGAGTATAATTTCCAGGATGTGCTGTACTTGTCAAAATCCAAATAGTAACCAGGGAGCTATCACAGCATGAGTTTGTTTGTTAAATGACAAATTGGTGTCTAAGCACTGAATGACTAAAACTTTCTAAAACTTTGGTTTTATGCATTTTAATTGAGGTCGAGGTGTGGGAAAAAAAAATCTGGATCCTGGGTATCTGCCAAAGGCCAAAAAAAAAAAAAGACTTCAACATGGGTAATACAAAATCTAGAACAAATAGGAACAGCATTCATTTCAGGAATTTCTGCAGGTGTGTTTGAATTCTTATATACTTAAATATTTGTAAACAACAAAGTATAAATTTGGCAGCTACTTCACCACTTCAACCATTATGTCTATGTAAATGTCTTGAAAAGCATGGGTCAGAACTAAAAGCATTAGTTACTTCAATTTGGAAAAGTTGTCTCAGACTTTCGGGTAACAAACTAAGTTCATTATATTTCTTTTATAAACACAGGCATGGATGGACACACACACACACACACACACACAAACACTCACACAAAATTATCATACCTTAATCTACTATTTTTGTCCACACCACACTAAAGTTAAACTAAGTCAAAATCTTAGAATCATATTTTGCTATTTATTCTCCTTTATTCTCTATATCCAGTTGATATCGCTTTGATGACTGGAAGAACACCAGGGTTCTTGGTTTTGAGCCAATAGGATTAACGACACAGATATATGTGGAGTGGTTTTAAGGAGCAAAAAGTTTAATAGGCCAGAAATAAGAAAGGAGAAAACAGCTTCTTCATATAGAGACAGAAGAAGGAGGGCTTGGAACAAAAAGGAACCTCATCTGTGGCAGAAAATTTGTTGGTTATATTGGGAGGCTGGAGGAGGCAGTGTCGGGTTTACATAGGGCCCAGGGGATTGGTTTGACTAGGTGTGTTATTTATGTAGCCAAAGAAAAACCTGGCCCTTCCACCTTACCTTTTTAATATGCAAATGTGGGTTGCCATGATGTTTTGAGCACATGGTGTTATTTGGAGGTGGCCATGACACTTGACACAGGTGGTGACAAGGAGAAGATGGTGGGAATCGGCATGTTGGGTAGACCCAGTTACCATTTGTTGGCATTTGTATATTGAAGCTTGCTGGCTTGGCTTTCTAAGCCACGTTTCTGTTAGTTTTTACCAAAAACCTTTACCCTGTTTACTTGCCTAAAAATTATTTTTAAATAACTTTTGTACTACAATCAAGTACAAACTTTTACTAATTCATCTTTTGTAACTTCTCATGAATCTGGCACTTTATCTTCATTTTAATTTTTACTGCTATTATCAAGGCTGTTAGTGACAATTCCTAAACAATTGCTTACAGTCTGTCCCCATTCATCTACCAGCTGCCTCTGCCACCATCTTTCTAACATTACACTGCTAAAGGCCAGCATTTATTAGCACTAACTATACAGTGAGTGCTAGGCGAAAGGATCTACCAAGACCATTAACATTTAATTTTCACAATAGCCCTATGAGATAAGAACTATTATCCTCAATATACTGATAAAACCCTGAGCCTTAAAAAAGGTGGAATGACACAGCTATAAATTGTGGAAACAAGATTTGAACCCAGGATGTTTAATTCCAGAATGATGTTATTGAGTTTGTTACACTGTTTCACTGAACAATAATTTCAACATGTTAACACATGATCTGGAAATTGTCTATGACATCTCATCACATATAGCTAATAAAGAGCTAACATTCATTGAGTGCCGACTCCATGTTAAGTAATTTATGTGAATTATCTCATTTAAACTTTTCAATGGCCATATAATTTACAATTATCTCCATTTTACAGAACAGGTAACAGATTGAGAGACTTGTGAATGCCACACTTTAATCTCATCTCCTCCCCACCACCCTGAAATCACAAGCTTGAACTGCCATCCGGACCTGAGGCAACCTTTCCCTCATTAAGACTAAGTTTCTCCTGTGTGCAGAAATATGAAGGATGGAAGGAAAAGGAAGAGATATCCGGTACTATTGTAGTCATTTATCTGTGGATTGTCAATACTCTTGTGTCTAACATCAATCATTAATAACCTGTGTTTGGTAGGCATGAAAAGGCTGGCTGGGTTGTGTGAGTTCTTAGATGGACCTATAGCCAGAATAAGAACAGAAATGGTTTTCACAATCACCTTGACACTTCTTAAAAGCTATTGAATCTAACAACTATTTATTTCTCCTGTTCTAATTTTTCTTATACAAATTGGGAAGACAGAATTTGGAGTCAATGGCAAGTGGTAGTATAGCAGGCTTGGTCAACTCTGAAGCCCTGAGAAATGTATTTAGCTCTCTTTATCGCAGTGGTTCTTAAAGGGTGTTTCTGGAACAGCATTATTAACATAACTTATAAACTTGTGGGAAATTCCAACTCTCAGGCTTCTCTTCAGATGTACTGAATTAGGACCTAGAGGTGGGGCCAAGCAATGTGTATTTTGGCAGTCCCTGAAGGTGATTCTGACACACGATAAAGTTATAAAAACCACTGCTTTAGAATGTGAGATATTTAGCACCACTGTTTACTTCTGCTTTAGGTCTTATTTAATAATTTCTGGGCAATATAATAAGCCTACAGTTTAGAAATCCATTTGTGTTCTGTTCTTTATCTTGACCATTCATTTTTTTGGAAATCAATACCTTGTATCTCAAATTTTCTCATGCTATAGTTACTGTAATTTATATTAAAAATACTGTATATAAAAATAAAAATGTTCACCATATTTCTCCTTTTCCAGAATATCAAATATATTGTTATTATCACTGATGTTGTTGAGAATATCCAAACGGTATTTTTAATAGTTTCATTAAAGAAATTAAAAAACAAAAGCAATTTAAGGGAATTGCTGAGACAAATAATTTGATTCTCATGATTCCTCCAGAGTGGAATAACTGATGTATAATATTGCTGTCTTCTAATTTCTTTTTCTTAGTTTGTGGGTCTCTTTGTGTGTGTTTCACAAGGCATATTCTCAGCTACAATAGCATTAAAATGTCATTAAAGAAACACGTATTTATGAATTATATGTTTTAATAACACAGTATTTTTAAATTTGTGGTTAATTTTATTGTTATATAGACAAAATTAAATATAGTTTTAAAATAAATTTATAAAAATTTTTATTCACTAAGACTAAATGAGTTAATTTAAGCTGCAGATTTATAAAAATAGATCTTTAATCTGTCCAATATAAACTGTTTTTTTTTTTTAAATTTTACTTTAAGTTCTGGGATACATGTGCAGAACATGCGGGTTTGTTACATAGGTATACACGTGCCTTGGTGGTTTGCTGCACCCATCAACCTGTAATCTACATTAGGTATTTCTCCTAATGCTCTCCCTCCCCTAACCCCCCAACCCCGACAGACCCTGGTGTGTGATGTTCCCCTCCCTGTGTCCATGTGTTCTGATTGTTCAACTCCCACTTACGAGTGAGAACATGAGGTGTTTGGTTTTCTGTTCCTGTGTCAGTTTGCTGAGAATCATGGTTTCCAGCTTCATCTGTGCTTCATCATGAGGACATAAACTCATCCTTTTTTATGGCTGCACAGTATTCCATGGTGTATATGTGCCGCATTTTCTTTATCCTGTCTATCATTGATGGGCATTTGGGTTGGTTCCAAGTCTTTGTTATTGTGAGCAGTGCTACAATAAACATACGTGTGCATGTATGTGTCTTTATAGTAGAAAGATTTTTAATCCTTTGGGTATATACCCAGTAATGGGATTGCTGGTTCAAGTGGTATTTCTGGTTCTAGATCCTTGAGGAATCGCCACACTGTCTTCCACAATGGTTGAACTAGTTTACAGTCCCACCAACAGTGTAAAAGTGTTCCTATTTCTCCACATTCTCTCCAGCATCTGTTGTTTCCTGACTTTTTAATGATCACCATTCTAACTGGCATGAGATGGTATCTCATTGTGCTTCTGATCTGCATTTCTCTAATGACCATAAACTGGATTTTTACCATTGTATTACAAAGTTAGTAATACTTACACATTTGGTTAATCTGATGGACTAATAATTCAGCTGCAATATATCAAATCTGTCAGTGCACTGATTATATCTCCCATGGAAGATTTTTTTTATCTTTTGATTCAATGAAAGTTTCTTGTATGAAACCAAATTTCATACAGTTCTAAAAAATCCTTTAGAAATTCATCATTTTAGTTTTGTTTTCTAGGCTAAAGCAATTTACTGTCTACCATCATATGTCTATTTTTTTAAAAAAAATGCCTTTTCCTACAGAAAGAAGTTATAAAATTAAATAGAGGTGTAACAAGTAGGATTTTAAGATTACACATGGTTGTTTTGTGCTAGTTAAAAAGAAAAGAAGATATAATGCTTTTAACAAATGAGAACACTATGTATGTTTATACATATAATACATATTTAACATTGAGTTGTTAACTGGGAAAAAGGTTGTGGTATTAAGCATGAAAAAGAAGAGAGTTGGGAGGCATTTCAGGCATTGTGAAAGCATCTTTATTCACACTGTAGCCTTGTTACACACAGAACAGTGAGGATATGCTTTCATATAACTGGCTATATCTCCCTAATTGGCTATATAAATTTCATTAATGTCATTGTTAACTTATAGAGTAGTAACACATAAAGGATCTTGAATGCTTTCAAATACTATGGATAATAAGAAAATAATTAAACTTGCCATTCCACTTTGTGTATTTGAGTATTATAATGTATGAATTAAGCTATGTGACTATTATGAAGTCACAGGCAAGCAGAAAGAAATGGTCTTGATCAGTGTCTAGTCAGTAGTCCTGGGGTAAACTGACCATACAACGCATGTATCTGCTTCCTGTGGTTTGTCTGGATTCAGGTGAAAGGTTTCCACCAGGGGATGCATCTGTAGTCTGTCAAACTATGTAGATAGATATGGTAAACTGATCTGACCACATTCTACAACTAACTACAGATTAGTTTACTTGCCGTTGGTACACTTGGTCGTATAACTCAGCCACTTACTCAGCCTAATCCTAAAGTGATACCTTCCTGTGAATTGGAGAACTGTATTTTCAAATAAAGCTTCACATAGCAAACATTTCATAAAGATCAATTCACCTTGAGACAACTAAAATGTTCTGTCTACTTCAGCTCATTCTAGATGTCATTTCTCTCACAAACATCTCTGACCTACCCTTACTTCCATTTATTTGCTTCTTTCATTTCTATTCATTAGTTTCTTACAAACCTGCCTGCAGAGATTGTTCTGTCTGAGATTTTTCGAAACCCCTAAGTAATAATCAATTCATGTAATAGAGAAGTTGAAACTTTCTGTGATAGTCTTAATGACTTCTTTATGGTGAAAAATATTTAAAGAAATTATCCTGAAAAGAAACATTTGCTAAGGAATTTATCTTTCTTTTCAATTTACCTCTCAAATGCAAAATCATGATAGGATGAAATAGTAATACATGTGAAAAAAAATTTTTTTCTGAATAAGAAAAGCCCCTCTGGCATTATTTCTGCAGGGACTAATAGACCCACCTATAGCTTTATGTAGATGAAACACAGTTAGTTGGGTGGTCAGTGCATCTCCACAGTGGAATGAGAAAGACTCAATAGGTCTTTTTCATCTCTACTTCTAGATTCTCTGATCAAATATCAATACTTAACAATTTTAACCAGTTATATTTAAAAAACAGAAAAGTACACATAAGAAAGAGAAATAAAAACATAAATAAAATATGTAGGAAGCAATATGTACTCAGACTAAAAGTTCTGAATAAATTGTAGGAGATGGTATATCTTTTATTTTTAATTTTTTATTATTATACTTTAAGTTCTGGGGTACATGTGCACAACGTGTAAGGTTTGTTACATAGGTATATATATGCCATGTTGGTTTGCTGCACCTATCAACTGGTCACCTACATAAGGTATTTCTCCTAATGCTATCCCTCCCCCAGCCTCCCACCCCTCAACAGGCCCCAGTGTGTGATGTTCTCCTTCCTGTGTCCATGATCTCATTGTTCAATTCCCACTTATGAGTGAGAACATGTGGTATTTGGCTTTCTCTTCTTGTGTTACTTTGCTGAGAATGATGGTTTCCAGTTTTATTCATGTCTCTGCAAAGGACATGAACTCATCCTTTTATGTGGCTGCATAGTATTCCATGGTGTATATGTGCCACATTTTCTTTATCCAGTCTATCATTGACGGGCATTTGGGATGGTTCCAAGACTTTGCTATTGTGAACAGTGCTACAATATACATACATGTGCATGTGTCTTTATAGTAGAAAGATTTTTAATCCTTTGGGTATATACCCAGTAATGGGATTGCTGGGTCAAATGATATTTCTAGTTCTAGATCCTTGAGGAGTTGCCACACTGTCTTCAACAAAGGTTGAACTAATTTACACTCCCACCAACAGTATAAAAGCGTTCCTATTTCTCCACATCCTCTCCAGCATCTGTTGTTTACTGACTTTTTAATTTTTGCCATTCTAACTGGCGTGAGATGGTATATCTTAAGGCCTTAACCCTAAATCATAACTTCCTAAACAGAAACTGCATATAAAGAGCTGTTTTTCTTACTAGTGGTACAGTTTTATCAGATGCTTTTTATTAAGTAGATTATATTATTCTACTTAATAAATACAGATAAGTGGAAACATATGAAAAAAATGCTCAACACCATTAGTTATTAGGGAAATGCAAATTAAAAACACAATGCACTACACAAATATAAGAATAGCAACAAAACAAACAAACAAACCTGACAAGATCAAATTCTGTTGAGGATGCAGAGCAAAAGGCTTATAGAAAATTTTAATAACATAACTAGACATAGCTGCTTCCAAATTTAAAATATGATTAGAACTTTTTGTTATTTAATTTGAGCAGAAGATGAAAATTTACACAGATTAAGCTTTCACTTAAATGCAATGAGAAGGGAATAGCCTATTAAAAAACATTTAACATATCTACAGCTAACATCTATACCTAATGGTAAAAGAATGAATGCTATTGTAATAGCAGGGTCAAGACAAATATCTGCTTTCACTCCTCCTATTAGCATCACACTGGGGATCTTAGCCTGCGAACTGAGACAAAATAAAGAAAGAATTGACATATAGAGTGCATACTAAGAAACAAAACTGCCTCTATTTTCAGAGGACATGACAGTCAACATACAAAATGTACAAAAAGTTCTTAGATCTCATAAGTGAACTTAGCAAGGTCTCATAATGCAAAGAAAATATACAGAAATCAATCATATTACTATATTACAGCAATTAAGAGTAGAAATCTGAAGTTTTTAAATGACGTCAGTTACAATAGTACTAAATAAAATTAAGTACTTGGGTATAAATTTAACACAATATGTGAAGAATGTCTGCACTGAAACTTACAAAACGCTGGTAAAAGAAATCAAATATCTAAATCAATAGAGATGAAAAAGATATTTCCCTCATTCATAAATTAGAAGGTGCAATATTGTTAACATGTCCATCCTTTCTCATTTGCTATATGCACTTAATGATATTCCTATCATAATCCCAGCAAGCTTTTAGTGAGATATCAGAAGCTGATTCTAAAATATATATGGCAAAACAAAGGAACTACAATAGCTAAAACAATTCAGAAAAAGAAGAAAAAAGCTAAAGGGCTCCCACTGTCCAATTTCAGGACTTATTATAAAACTTTAATAATTAAAGCTGTGGTATTGGAAAAAAAGATAACATATACATCAACAGAATAGAAGAGACAGCTGAGAAATAGGCCTATAAGAATACAGTTTATTGCTTTTTACAGAGATTCACTAATTTAATAAAGAAAGGATTTTTTCAACAAATATTGCAGTATCAACTGTAAATCCATATGAAATTAATAAACTACAGGCATATACCTGATACATTATCCAAAAATTAACTGAAAATATGTCATTTACCATAATGTATAACAAAACTATAAAACTTTTAAAAGGAAACATGAGACAACCTATATAATCTTTAGTTTAACAGTAAGACTTAACTAAAAAATACAAAGCGTGATCTACTTTAAAAATGTTAAATTAGACTTTATCAATATTAGAATACTTTGTTCTGTAAAAGACACTGTAAGGAGAATGAAAAGGTAACACGCACACTAAGAGAAAATATTTGCAGTTAAAATCACATCTCCAATAAAATCTTCCATGTACAATATATAAATAACACTCAAAAGTCAACAATAAGGAAAAAAGCAACAAAATTAATAAATTTTAATAAATTTAATAATTTTTTAAGTCTAAAAAGACACTTCCCCAAAACAGATATGTGAAACCATGTGAAAAAAATACTCAACATCATTAATTATTAGGGGAATGCAAATTAAAACCACAATGTACTACACAAGTATTAAAATGGCAACAAAACAATCACACACACACCTGACAAGATAAAATTCTAGCAATGATGCAAGTTAACAGCAACTTTAATTAGTTGCTAGATGATATGCAAAATTGTTCAGCCACCTCTGAAAATGGTTTAGCAATTTTTTACAAATGTATACATACATTTATCATATGATCCAGTAATTCCACTCTTAGATATTAACAAAAAGAATTGGAAACTCGTATTTACTAAAAGCTTGTAAACACATGTTTATAGCACTTTCTCTTATAATCACAAAAAGAAGAAGCCAGAAATCCTTCAACAGGTGAATGGATAAACAAGCTGTAATATATCCATTGAATGTAATAATACTCAGCAAGAAAAATGAACAAACAGTTGATTCAAACGACAGTGTGGCTAAATCTAATATACATTTTGCTAAGCATTGTATTATTCCATTTGAAAAGCATTTGGGTAAAGGCAAAACTATAGGAATGAAAAACAGATCTGTAGTTGCCAAAGATTATGGGAAGGAAGATTACGTGGCTACAAAGAGGACACACAGGAAAATTTTAGGAAGATGCGCTGTTTTGCATGGTACTTTGGTGGTGGATACATGACTAAGCATTTTTCAAAACTTATAGAGCTGTACAATCCAAAAGATAAACTTTACCATATGGAAATTGCAAAAAACAAAACAGGATGTCAGGAAACCCAGGAAGGATTGCAGACAAGAAAAATGAACCCAGCTGTGTTGTAATTGTATAACATAACTTCACGGAAGGGTTCGAAAAGAAAAATAACAAACCTAAGTAACTTTGACAACCAGTGTTTTGAGTAGATTAAATAAACAAGGAAGGCAAGAATAAACCCTGTGGGGCATAACTAACTGAGAAATATCAGTGTTTATGTTAATAGAGATACAAATATATAAATATAGAGATAACTATAGATGTATATATTTATATATGGGTTAGTGTACATGCACTCATACATATTATTTCTGGCTCAGTACACAGAGGGAGCTTAGAAAGGAAGAAGGAAGGAAGGAGGGAAGGAAGAAAGGAGGGAAGGAAGGAAGTCAAAACGGAAGGGGTGAAGGAAGGATGAAAGGAAGGAAGGAAGGGAAATGAAGTGAGGAACGGAAGAGGGAGGGAAGGAAGGAAGGAAGTCAAAACAGAAGGAGTGAAGGAAGGATGGAAGGAAGGAAGTAAAGGGGAATGAAGCGAGGAATGAAGGAGGGAGGGAAGGAAGGAAGGAAGGTAGGAAGGAAGGAAGGCAGGAAGGAAGGCAGACAGGCAGGGAGGGAGGGAGGGAGGGAGGGAAGACAAAGGAGCCCATGTGAAAGAGCAGCTCCAATGACCAAATCTGAAATAGTTTGAGAAACAAAATTAATAATGATAGTTTTGGAGTTGTGGAGGGGGCTAAAAGGTAGATACACATTAGCAGTTCCATACTGATTAATAAATGACCAAATAAATAAATAAACGAGAAAAGAGACATATCTTTAGTCCAGAAGAATTCCATATAACACAGGAATTAAGAGTGATGGGAATAAAAAGTAATCAGTGGAATACTACAGCAGTAATTGTTACAAGCAAGAACCATTAATGACTGCTAAACATTTTGGAAGCAACTTTAAAAAGAAACAGTATATTTGAATAGACTCAAATTATCTTCCCAAACATACTTACTAATTTCAGTGGTGTTTTTCCTAACAAGTGTCCACAAAGTATTTGATACTTCTCCCTCCAAAACCTGGGGTTTAATTCTCTTTCCTCTGAGCGTGGGCTGGATTTAGTGACTCATTTCTGAAAACACAGAATGGAACAGGAGAAGTAGTAACTTTGCAGTGCAGAAGCCTGGAAAATACCACCTTTGTCAAGTGGTCAAGTTTAACATCACCAATAATAAGTAATGCAGATATTATTTTACCCCAAAATGGTATGATGAGAAGAGTACTTTATCTCTGTGTTATTCCCCCAAAATCTGTTTCCTCGGTATAATCATGAAAAAAGAGCAGAGAAACAAAAATTGGGAGAAATTCCAAAATACCTGACCAGTAGTCTTCTAAAGTGCTGATGTCATTAGAACAAGGAGATAGTATAACATGATAGAGAGAATACTGTGTCTGTATTTTAGTGCCCAGTTGTACCAGAGTAATTTCTGAGCACTACATGCATCAGTCTTTGTATATTTTTGCTTGGTATGTGCAACCAGGATTTGAATTTGGTCTCTTAATTACTTAAAAACCAAAATGAAGGGCTGGGTGCAGTGGCTCAAGCCTGTAATCCCAGCATTTTGTGAGGCCAAGGTGGGTGGATCACCTGAGTTCAGAAGTTTGAGACCAGCATGGCCAACACAATGAAACTCTGTCTCTACTAAATATACAAAAATTAGCCAGGCATGGTGGCATCCACCTGTAGTCCCAGCTACTGGGGAGGCTGAGACAGGAGAATCGTTTAAACCCAGGAGGTGGAGGTTGCAGTGGGCTGACATTGCACTACTGCACTCCAGCCTGGGTGACAGAGCAAGACTTTGTCTCAAAATAATAATAATAATAATAATAATAATAAAATTATTTGTCAGAAAATTCTATATAATATAATTTCTAGTACTGAATATTATACTTTTAGTTTAGCACTACTTCCACTTTTCTGCCCCACAATAATTTTATATATAAAATTATATTAATATAAATTATATTAATTTTATATATAAAATTACATTATTCTATTAATAATAATTTTAATCTTATGTATAAATACCTACTAGAATTTGGACGGGAGTGAAACAGTGAAATGCCTTGCTTATCCTTTGAAAAATTATATTTTGGGAAATATATAATTGCTTATTTCTGCATTACTATTGTTTGCAAATGCCTTGTGGGGAGGTGTCTTTTACAAATCAACATTTAATGGCACATACAAAATGAAAATATACAAATATTGGGACTTTTAAAATAACTACCTAAGAATTGACACATTGACATTTACTTCAATACTTTACTATCAGATTTATTCAGTTGATAGCAAGGTGGAACTAGATTTATGAAAGAAAACCAATAGAATATAAAAAAATAGTGAAGAAAACACTCCCCATTGTCCAAACTGTCATTTACTTACGGAAGCTAAGCCAAATCTCATGCTTAGTAATAAACATACAATGTTACAGAATATTCCATCTCAAAAATCATGGTTTTGAAGGAAATTATGAGAATTAGATAATTAATGTTCACCTACTCCACACATAAGTAAAACATTTCCTAATTAAATCCCTGTTAAGAAGATAAGAAACTACCAACAAGGCTAAATTATGACTTTATCATACTACAAAGAGTGAGAATTAAGACACAGTTTGTTGAGGAGAATCCAGATACATTTAATATAGGTGTCCAGAGACTTTGTAGCTGTGACATGGGAAGGTTATCCCAGGGAAATTTTCATAACCCTTAGTTCTCTAAAATGAGTACTCATTTGGCTTCCGATCATTTGCTTAAGCTGCTAGAGGCTGGATTGAATAAAGCTGCCCTGAGGAAATTATTTGGAAATCTAACAGTTTTCCCAGTATATTTTGTCAGAGGAGAATCTGAGGAAATTTACATATCAACATTGACAATATTCTTGTGAGTGTCTAACACTCAATTTCGTACCTCTGAGTTAAATCTAAAGAGTTAGGGGCACTATTACTTAATCTGTATCGATGTTTTGGCATCAAGTCTTCAACATGAAATAAGCAAGCCAAATTATAGAGTCCTTATGTGATCTCTTCAAAATGATCTTATTTTCCAAAATATGAATGACCTATAGAAAGAAGAGTTTTAGTGCCACTAAAGAAGAGCATAGGCTTTAGAAGGCGAAATAAAGATGATTTGAAATGTGTTTGTTAACATAGAAGATATTGCTGATATGGTGAAATTATTACACATGGAAAATTATATGCATAATGAAGCAGATAAAAAATGGAAGTAAATATACATTCAAAGAAATGAAAATGGGCATTTTAGGGAGCCTGAAGCTCTGTAACTGGACAAAGTAAGACAAATGTAAGTAGAGGAGTCAGTTGTAAAGGACAAATTGTAACATTGTCTACAACAAGCCAAACAAGGAAGTTTAGAAAATAAATAATTCATTTAGTCCCCATAATTTATTTTAATTATTTCAAGGTCAGTATATAATGACCACTCAAAATTTACCACCTATCATTTTTACACACTATCCAGTGTTCATCTAACTGTCATAATGGATAATTTAGGAGTATGAAATATGGATACTGTTCATTCAGGTATGTATGCTAAGCCAGCTTCTAGAGATTTCTTTATATTTATTGTATTTAATTTATATTTTAATATAAATATGCTAAATACCATAAAACATAAACAAAATATATTTTGCTAAGTAGAAGATAAAAAGACCATGAAGATTTTACAAGTTTTTTCATTGCTGTCTATTTCATTTTTAATACCAATGAGATGAGAAGTAATTGTTTACCATACTTATACTATGGAAGTTGTACTTAGCAAATCAGGAAGTACAAAAAAATTTCTAGTAACTCTGTGATCAAATTTTGAACATTTTTATATCAAATCCAAGTAAATTTTTAGCTGTACTCTTGAATAAGTGATTTTACCAGTGTGTATCCACACTTCTCTAAATACAAAATGAGAGTAATCATATATATCTAATAAGATTTCAGTAAGTTTGTAAAGTGATAATTCATGTTAACGGCTTAATGTAATACATGACACATAAGTGGTAAGTGTTAATATCAGGAGCCAATTATAATCTTGAAAGACATAGTCTCAAAAGCCATAATCCTCAAAATTAAAATCCCAAATTTTATCATCCTGAAATAATTCTGGAAAAAATAATTTAAAATAAATTTACATTTTGGAGACTAGGCTGAGCAAGATGGTGAAATAGAAGGCTCTATTGATCGTCCCCTCCATAAAAAAAAACACCAATTTAACAACTCTCTACACACAAAAAAAGCACCTGTATAAGAGCCAAAAATCAGGTGAGCACTCACGATACCTGGTTTTAACTTCATATCATTGAAAGAGGCACTGAAGACGTAGAAAAACAGTCTTGAATTGCCAATACTACCACTCCCTGATCCACCAGCATTGGAGGCATGGCACAGAGAACAGTTCTCCGTGCTGGGGGCAGGGGGCTGGGGTGGGGAAGGAGAGTATAGGAGTTGTGAGGCACTTAACTCACTGCTGTCCTGTTGAAGCAGGAAAGAAAACCAGACCAAACTCAGCTGACATGCACCCATGGAGGGAGCATTTAAACCAGCTCTAGCCAGAGGGGAACTGCAGATCCCAGTGGTCAGAACTTGAGTTCCTGCATGCCTCACCACCGTGGACTTAAGTGCTCTGGGGCTCTAAAGAAACTTGAAGGTCAGTCTAGGCTGTAACTCCTAGCTGAGTCCTAGTGCTGAACTGGGCCCAGAACCAGAGGAATGGGAGGGCACAGGAACTACTCATATACCAGCTAGGGAAGCTAAGGGAGTGCTTGGATCTCTCCTCTAAAGCCAGGTGGCAGAGTTTGTGGCTCCAAAGAGATCCCATCCTTCTGTTTGAGGAGAGGTGAGGAAAGAGTGTGGAGAATTGTATCTTGCATCTTGGATACCACCTAAGCAACAGCATGATAGGGCACTGGTCAAAGTTGTGAGGCCTCTTTTCCAGGCCCTAGTTCCTGGACAAACCCTTGGCCAGAGGGAACCCACTGCCTTCAAGGGAAGGACCCAGGCCTGACAGCATTCATCATCTGCTAAATAAATAGTTCTTGGTCCCTGAATAACCAGCAATGATACCCAGGAACCACATCAAGGGCCTTGGGTAAGCTTCTGAGACATATTGGCTTCAGGTGAGACTCAGCACATTCCCTGCTGTGGCAGCTAAGGGGTAAGACTCCATCTACTTGATAAAAGCAAAGGAAAAAGTAAAGGGGCCTTCATCTTGCACCTTAGATACCAGTTGGCCACAAAAGGTAGAGAAGCAAGTGGGCTCCTGAGGTCTCTGATTTCAGGAATTGATTCTCGGATTGCATTTCCGGACCTATCCTAAGAAAGAAGGGGGCCCACTGGCCTAAAGAGTGAGTCCCAGCCCAGGCAGCATTTACCACAAACTGACTGAAGAGCTCTTGGGCTTTAAGAGAACATCAGTGGTAGTCTGGAAGTACTCTCCATTGGCCTGTGGTGGTGAGAGCCATGGGGTAAGGCTCCCCTGCTTTTGGAAAGTGGACAGAAGAATGAGAAGGATTGCTTCTTGTAATTTGAGTGCCATCTCTGCCTCAATAAAATAGAACACCGGGTAGATTTCTAAGGATTTTGACTCTGGTAACTAGATCCAGGACAACACCTCTGGACCTGCTTAGGGCCTAGGAGAACTTGCCACCCTGAAGGGGAAGACACAGGTCTGGGTGACTTTGCCACCTGCTGATTGTAGAACCCCAGGGCTTTGAGTGAACATAGTCAGTGGCCAGGGATTGGTTAGAACAGGTCATGGGTGAGACCCAGTTCTGTGTTTCCTTCATGTCTGACCCAGCACAGTCATAGTGGTGGTGGCCACCAGGGGTACTTGTTTCACTTCACCCTCAGCTTTAGTTGGCTCAGAACAGAGAGAGAGCCCATTTGTTTGAGAGAAAGTAATGGAAGAGAACAAGGGTCTATGCCTGTTAATCTAGAAAATTCTTCCAGATCCAGCCCAAGACTATCAAAGCAGTACCTCTATGAGTCTGCAAGGACCGTAGAATTATTGGGCTTGGGGTACCACCTAAAGCAGATACAGCTTTGATCACGGTACTCAAATCTTTCCAAATATCTGGAAAACCTACCCAAGAAGGGCAGAAACAAATAATACCAGACTGTGAGGTCTACAATAAATACCTAACTCTTCAATGCCTAGAAACAGATGAACATCTGCAAGTATCAAGACCATCGAGGAAAACATGACATTGCCAAAATGCATTAAGTAAGCCACAGGCTTTGTTTCTCCTGGAGAAACAAAGATATGTGAAATTTCAGACAGAGAAGCCATGATAAGTGTTTTTAGAAAACAATGAAATTCAGGATAATATAGAGAAGTAATTCAGAATTCTATCAGATGAACTGAAATAATTTTAAAAAATCAATCGGAAATTCTGAAGATAAATAATGGAAGTTATACACTAAATAATTCATCAGAGTATTTTAATAGGAGAATTAATCTAGCAGAAGAAAACATAGCAAGCTTGAAGACAGGCTACTTGAAAATACAGTCAGAGGAGACAAAAGACAAAAAAAAAATGATGCATACCCAGAGAATCTAGAAAATGTCTCAAAAGTGAAAATCTAAGAGTTATTGGCCTTAAAAGGAGGTAGTGAAAGAGATAGGTAGAAAGTTTATTCAAAAGGATAATAACAGAGAACTCCCTAAACCTAGGGAAAGATATCAATATCCAACTACAAGAAGGTTATAGAACACCAAGCAGATTTAATCAAAAGAAGTCTATCTCGATGCATTTAATATTCAAACCCCCAAAGATCAAGGATTTAAAAACAGGTTCCAAAAACAGCAAGAGAAAAAAAATATTATTCAATGAAGCTCCAACGTCTGGCAGAAGACTTTTCAGTGGAAATCTTACAGGTGAGGAGAGAGAGACATGACATATTTATAATACTGAAAAAAAAACAAACCTACTACCCTCGAATGGTATATCTGGCTAAAATATTCTTTAAATATGAAAGAGAAATACTTTACCAAACAAACAAAAGCTGAAGAATTTAATTATCACCAGACCTGTCCTACAAGAAATGATAAAGGGAATACTTCAATGAGATAGAAAAAAATGTTAATTAGCAGTAAATAATTACCTGAAGGTACAAAACTTACTAGTAATGTAAATACACAGAAAAACCCACAATATTATAACAGTGGTGTGTAAACTACTTTTATCCTAAGTAGAAAGACTAAACAATAAACCAATCAAAACTAATAACTAGAAAAACTTTGAAACCATAAAGAGTACAATAAGATATAAATAGAAACAACAAAAAGTTAAAAAGTGGGGGAATAAAGTTAAATCATAGAGTTTTTACTACTTTTCATTTTTTGTTTGTTTATTGTTTATGTGACAGTTTGCTATTTTAGCCTAAAATAATAGTATTTGCAAGCCTCATATAACCTCGACCCAAATAATCTATAACAAATACACAACCATTAAAAAAAGGAAGATAACCATATCACCAGAGAAAATTACCTTCAGTAAAAGGAAGATAGGAATAAAAGAAAGAAAGAAGAGAAGAACACACAAAAAAAAACAGAAAACAAATTATAAAATGTTAAGAATAAGTCCTTACTCATCAAAAATAACATTGAAAATAAATGGACTACATTTTTCCAATCAAAAAATTAAATGGATAAAAACACATAGTGGCTAAATGGATTAATATGCAAGACCCAATGGTCTGTTGTCTAAAAGAAACTCACTTCACTTATAAAGACACACATGACTGAAAATAAAGAGATGAAAAATGATATTTCATGATAACGAAAAACAAAATAGATCAGGAGTAGCTATATTTACATCAGTCAAAATAGATTTCAAGACAAAAACTTTAAGAGACAAAGAAGCTATAAAACTATAAAATGATAAGGAGTAAGTAGAACTGATCAACAAACTCAGTAAAGTTGCAGGATACAAAATAAACATATAAAAATCAGTAACATTTCTATATGCCAACAGTGAACAATCTGAAAAAGCAATTTGAAAAGGAATCCCATTTACCATAGCCAAAAGAAAACTAAATAGTTAGAAATTAACTTAACCTCAGAAGCTAAATATTTCTATAATGAAAATTAAAAAACAGTGATTAAAGAAGTTGAAGGGGACACACACACAAAATGCAGAGATTGTCTATGTTAATGGATTGGAAGAATCAATATTGTTAAAATGTTCCAAGGCAATCTTGAGGTTCAGTGCAATCCCTATCAAAACATGAATGACATTCTTCATAGAAATAGAAAAAAAAAACACCCTAAAATTTATATAAAACCACAAAAGACCCAGAATATACAAAGCTATCCAAAGCAAAAAGAACAAAACTGGAAGAATCACATTACCTAACTTCAAATTATACTACAGAGTTATAGTAACCAAAATAATATGGTACTGGTATAAAAAAAGACCCACAGAGTACTTGGATAGAATTGAGAACTCAGAAATAAATCCATATCCCTACACTGAACTCATTTTCAACACAAGTGTCAAGAACATACACTGTGGAAAAAGCAGTCTCTTGTATAAATGATGTGGGGAAAATTGAATATCCATATGCAGAACGATGAAACTAGAACCCTTTATCTCACCATATATAAAAATCAAATCAAAATGGATTAAAGACTTAAATATAAGACCTCTAACCATGAAAGTGCTACAAGAAAATAGCGGGGAAAATCTCCAAGTAATTGGTCTGGGAAAAAATTGCTGAGTAATATCCCACAAGCACAGGCCACCAAAGCAAAAATTGACAAATGGGATCGCATCTAGTTAAAAAAAATCTGCACAGCAAAAGAAACCATCAACAAAGTAAAGAGACCACCTACTGAATGGGAGAAAATATTTCTAAACTACTGATCTGACAAGGATTTAGTCCCCAGAATATATAAGGAGTTCAAAAAACTCTATAGGAAAAAATCTAATAATCCCATCGAAAATGGGGAAAAGATCTGAACAGACATTTCTGAAAAGAAGACATACAAATGGCAAATGGAGATATGAAAAGTGCTCAATATCATTGATCATTAGAGAAATACAAATCAAAACTACAATGAGATGTCATCTCATCCCAGTTAAAATGGCTTATAACCAAGGCAGGCAATAAGAAATTCTGACAATCATGTGGAGAAAAGGGGACCCTTGTACCTTGTTTGTAGGAATGTAAATTAGTACAACCACTATAGAGAACAGTTTGAAGGTTCTTCAGAAAACTAAAAATAGAGCTACCATATGATCCAGCCAACCCGCTGCTGGGTATATACTCTCCAAAAAAGGAAATCAGTATATTGAAGAGATACCTGCACTCCCATGTTTGTTGCAGGATTGTTCAGAATAGCCAAGATTTAACAACAACCTAAGTGTCCATCAACAGATGAATAGATAAAGGAAAATTTGATACTTATACAGAATGGAGTACTATTCAGCCATAAAGAGGAATGAGATCCAGTCAATTTCAACATGTATGGACCTGGAGGTCATTATGCTAAGTGAAATAAGCCATGCACAGAAAGACAAACATCACATGTTCTCACTTATTTGTGGGATCTAAAAATAAAAACAATTGAATTCATGGAGACAGAGAGAAGAAAGACAGTTACCAGAGGCTGGGAAGCATTGTGGTGTGGTAGCGGTGAGGTGGAGATGGTTAATAGGTTCAAATAAATAGAAAGAATAAGACCTATTATTTGATAGCACAACCGGGTAAATATAGTCAATAGTAATTTAACTGTACATTTTAAAGTAATTTAAAGAGTATAGTTGGATTGTTTGTAACAGAAAGGATAAATGCTTTAAGGAATGAATACCCCATTCTCCATGATGTGATTATTATGCACTGCCTGCCTGTATCAAAACATCTCATGTATCCCATAAATATATACATCTACCATGTACCCGCACAATTAAAATGAAAAGCTTTTAACAAGTTAAAAAAATAAAATAACAGGTATTAAAAAATAAAATAACAGGTATGAAAATTACATTTTAAAGGGATGTTTATTTGAGAAATCTAAAAACACAGCAGAAGAGTTCCCAGGCCACTTTATGTGATACAATAGGCAATAATAACATATATATTTTTTTGCGAGCATAAGCACTGCAGTATACTCATGACAGTCACATAAGTAAACCAGTTATAAGCAGATGAGGTGTATTCATATAGAAATAGGTCAAAAAGAGAAATATATAATTGCATATAACTGTGGTGGGTAATTGTGCGAGCTCAGCTGTATAACTGCAGTCACTTGAAATACTGTGGTGAACAACCTAAGACTTTTGACAAGATTGATCAAAAATCGCAATGGGTCACCACCTCATGTGCAGTCATTCATAGAGCTGAGATCTCGAGAAGTTTTACCTTTCACAAATGCACATGTACAAAAGGACATCTCTTCATTTATTGAGGAAGTTTCAACATTTTACATACACAATGCTTACCCACAAAGTCAAAGTTGTGATAATGCACTGTTGTGGAGTCAAATTTCTGACAGGCAACGTAGCAAAGCCTCTCCCTGTTCTCAGAGAGAGACCAAATCGCCTTCTGTATTTTCTCTCCCCTGATTGAATGGTGCCCACCAACACTAACAGCAGATCTTTCCTATATAGTCCACTCAGACTCACTCATGAATCTCCTCTGCAAACACCCTCACAGACACACTCAAAGTAATACTTTACCAATTTTCTACGTATTCCTTAATCCAGCCAAGTTGACATCTAACATTAAGTACGTAAGTCCACTCGTGTCAACTTTTCACCCATATTCATCTCCTTAAACCATAATTTTCAAATAAAGACAATAACACTTCACATGATACAACTAACATGTTTCAATTATCTTGTATACAACTAAAAACATACTAATCTTTTACTCAGAATTCTGTTTTCAGAATTTTAACATTCAGGATTTTAATTTTGGGGGAATGCAATTTTCAGGATTTTAGACATTAGATATTTTAGGCTGAAAGAATTCTGACTTTAGGGATTTTGATATTTTAGGATTTCAGCTTCCTAATTATGCTGTTTCAGGATTATGACCCAAACCCATTAATATTACCATCATCATTACTGTGAAAAGAAGATGAGATATATGAGAAAGAGAGAAAGCTTGGCAAATAAAAAGTTATTCAGTGGATGGCTCTTCAAAGCTGAAGGGACGTGTAAATGAGTAAAAAAAAAAGCTGAAAATGTATTAAAATGAAGATAAATGAGGAACAAAATCAAGAAGATAAAACATGGGTAACTTATAAAAGGGCCTTAAAGCTAAAAACTGTTAATGTCTTTATCAAGAAATTGGGATGTTGTTCTCAGGGTATTTAATTATAGACTTGAGCAAATCACTTTTCCTCTCTAGGTTTTCTTATTCGTAAAGTAAGGGAAATAAACTTCTCTTTATCTTAAAGGAAGTTCTCCTCTGATCTTAAATTCTAAATTAAATCTGATACAAGTATTGGTGGTTAGGCAGTTGAGAATTTTAAGAAAATGAGGAAAACCGTTCGAACAGTTCACAGAAATGAAAAGACATTTAGGCTAAAGAGCATGTGAAGTGAACTCAAACTGCTGACAGTGTTTTTGTTGTTGATACGTAAAGTCAGATCAGGGATGAACTGTGATGTTGGAGATAGCACCAGTAAAGAAACCCCTTTTTAACATATGTCGAAATACGGGTGGAAAAAGAGACCAAAAGAAGAGTGGGAAGTAACTGTACATTTATTTTTTCAAAACAATTTAAAGAAGCAAAGAAGCAAATTACCCAGCTAAGCCCTGTAACTGAAAGCCTCTTTCAGGGATAGTTTTTTGCCCTTCGATATCGGCCCATCAACACTTAACACACAGTGCCTGATACAGAAATGTCACCTAGTAACTGATAATAAGAAGTTAAAAATATATATTGTGTCACCCAAAACGCCTTCTCTTGCTTCCTACGTCCACTTAAGTCTGTTTCACCTCTGCATTCCTACTCTTCCTTCCCTGAGACAGACTTTCTCTTGCAAGAACTTTCAAAGTAGTTGTCTCTCAGATACATCTTTCCTCTGATCTGTCTTTCAAAATGAGGTTTAAATCACCTTTCTGAAACCCATATCTAATCTTGTCACTTTAGCAATGGTTATTTACAAGATGAAGTCCAAATTTCTTATTATGGTGTCACAATTTATCTCAATACCCTTTTCAGCCTTACATTGAACCTTTTCCTCCTCCCCCTACTCATTTCTCACACATCATAGTTGCTGCCTGCCTAGTCTTCTCCAGTGCCTAGCACTGAGTAGCCAGAATAAGTGCTCAGTTTATTTTCTATGGGAGTAATTAACTTAAACTCTTTATGTATACGTCTATATTATAAAAATCTTTCACATTTTTGCTGAGCATTCCAGAGGGGAAACCATGAGTACGTCTCTCCACATTTTGTTATTGAAAAGCGCCAAAATTTTGCATATAGAACACACGCATCTATCATTGCTTCATCTAACAGGTTAAAATGGCTTTAAAATTATTCATTTATATTGATGTTACCTTTGGAAATTTTATTGGAAAATTTACTCTGCAAGGCAAAAGACTGAATGATTTTATGATAATCAACATACTTCCCAAGCACATTGCTCACTCGGATGTCTAATTAAGGAGTTTTAGCCTAAAACTGTAAATACTCTAGGAAATTAATTTATTATTATTTTTTATTTATAAACAACTGCAATTTCAAAGTGGCAAACTAAAAATCTAGAAAAAAAAAGCGAAAATATTTGACACGGAAATTTCGTCCAAAAAATCCAAAACAATTCATAAAAAAATATTTTCCTAAGAAAGAAGCACTTGGAACCCAATCAAAGTTTCAGGTGCTTATTTGTGATAGATGTTTTTCTGATATCTACCAACTGTAATCATAGGGACTTGTTCCTGAAAAAAACAAAACAAAACAAAAACAACAACAACGAAAACAGAGAAGTAAGCTAAAAGCCTAAATTGTAGGTGTGTTCTAACCACTATTAACAGCCATTTCCTCATATTTGAAACTTCACTATATACATTAAATGAATGTGCTCTTGATTAAACCTATCAAAAGCTGTTTTTCCTGGATATTCTTCAAACTTTAAATTAAGGTAACTACAGGGAAACTTAAACGATGAACACAACTGGGAAAATTATTTTAGGAAGCTAAATCTAACCCCAAAGAATCTTGATATAAAGGTAATGTTTTATCTTTTTGAAATGTTAACTCAATCAAATATTGCTTCCTACATGTTGAGGGTTTTACTGTCAACTGTATGAGTAAATAAACACTTGATGATGGTTTGGCTAACTTTTAGGTAACACATTGTTTCATAAAATCCATGCAAATTTAAATAAAATCAAATTTGTAAAGACAACAATCATACATTTGTTAGGATTTGAATTTGATCAAAGGGGACATTAAGGCTTTTAGACAGAAATACAGCAATTAAACTTACAGCCATGTTATGTTCTCTCTTACAAATCTAAAATGTGGGTTCAAAAACCTTTCTTTAACAGGCATCCTTAGAGACTGTAATCCAATTTGGAATGAGAATACAAAAAAAAAAAAACACACACAAAAAAAACCTAAGAAATGACTGGCATTTTTACGTCGATGAATACGTGAAAATGTATATACTCCTACTGTTCATAAATCTTGATGCTGCAAACACTTTATTCTTTGTTCCTGCAGGATACATTTATCAGCTTCATAAGTCTGCTTTCCATTTCATAACTTAAACAAGAAAAAAATTTTAGATAGTTTTCAAAATATTCTCCACATTTTCCATTTATTCTCTACGTTGGGTAGATGTATGTGCAGTTGTTGCTATTTGGCCTCACCACATTTGTTTCTATTCCATTTTATCTGTCCAGATTTCCAACAACGTAATATTTCATGTTTTTGTCACTCGTATGTAATATGAAGTATCCTTCTGCAGACAGGGTTAAGTTAATAGCTTTAAAAGCAAACATAAATGTTTGTTTTTCTAGACCTACAGAGGGTACTGCTAACAGGATCTCAAGGTTTGGTGACAACCTAAAATTCTTTACACAGTGGCCCATCTCGTAGCTTGCAGTAGCCATTATTCAAAAGTGGCATCCCAATGAAACACACCATCTGTTAAGAGCTGGTATAATCCCCTTCAACACTGAAATTGAGCTGGCTATGTGTAACAAATAGAATGTAGTAAAAGTAACAGTGAGAAACATCCAAGGCTAGGTTATAGTAAACCTTCTAGCTTCTGCATTGATATCTGGCAACATATTACCTGACAGAAGCCAGCCACCATGCAAGAATTGACAACTTGAAAGCTCTTTGCAGTAACAAAGCTCAAGCCAGCCATGTGGAGAGTCCGGAGAGGAAGAATAAGATGCCTAGCCAATTCTCATGTCTTCCCAACATCCCAACTAAAACGTTAGCCATGTGAGTGAAAAAGTCGCCTTGGACATGCAGTCCAGTCTGACCTTTGGATGCCTCCATCTCCAGTTATACACTGTACTTCAACTACATGAGAAACTCTAAACAAGAGTCACCCAGCTAAGCCCAGTAAACACACAGAAATAAAGGAAATGACAACAGATAACTATTTCATTTCAAGTCACGAAGTCGCATTTTATGCAGCAATTAGATAACTGATACATTAATTTTTGGTTTTGAATCTGAACGTGTAAAGGTAGTTTTTATTCACCTTTTTTCACTATAGGATTTTGAGCTTTACAAACAGTTTTCAGTGTAAAATAAGACATGAAATATTAGAAACCTTAACAGAAGGCCATGGATAATGAAGGAATGACCAGAGGGAATTAGAGAAAAGTGACATAAAAGTCTGATGGGGTCCAAAGGAAAGAGGGATTGAAAGAAGGGAAGTCCACAGGGAATGATTACTAACAGATTAGTAACAGGTAGGCATAGCCCTGTAAGTAGCTCATAGAATCTTGAAAGAAGGTCAAACTGTTTAAGAAGTAGGTGAGGTTAGTCTGAAATTTTCCACTCCAGCTTGACTTTGTATTGGTTGTAAGAAATGACTTGAGCCTAAAGAAAATAATTATTCTACCTGTCTGTGGAATTTTATGTTTGAACAAAAATCAGATTCTTTTTCAGTAATAAACAAGATTGTCCATTTTTCCCTTTGTATTAATAGCAGAATGAAAAACAAGCAAAAAGCCAAGGAACCTTTCTACTGCAATAAGTTCTTATTCCTATTTTACACTGTCTCTAACCTTCTGGCAAAGATGCCACACCATACATTAAATATGTGATAAGAGTTAAACAGTTATTTTATTAAAACTAGAGTTAAAAATCATTGTATTAAAATTATTTACCAATTTAATCCAGTTTCATATCTAGCTTTAGAAAAACAAATTTCAAGAAGAAACTGAAGTGCACAAAATGTTTGGATTTTTGTTTTGTTTTACTTAAAAAGAAAGAAAGCACAATACATGATTGCTCTATGAGAAAATTAAATGTATCATTTACAATATTAAAATTTTAATAAAAACTATTCTTCTTTACAGTTTATTAGTGTTATTGATACATAATAATTGTATATATTTAAGGGGTACATGTGATATTTAGATCCATGCATATAATGCATAATGTTTAAATCAGGGTATTTAGCATATACATCACCTCCAACATTCATTATTTCTTTGTGTCAGTTTGTCATAGCATAACTAAGATGAAGACCTTGTGTTTCTGGAATGGAGAAAATCTGCATTCAGAGACAGACTAGTGATTTCTGTGCTGGTGTTTATTAATATCTTTCCAATTGTATCAATTCCTCTTATCAACTCAATTGCATCAATTCCAATTCTTTCAATTCCTGTTAAAGTATATTCCTCAAAAATAAAAAAAATAAATTTTCTCTTCTAGCTATTTTGAAATATGCAATAAATTATTGATAGCTATAGCCTCCCTGCTGTGCTATAAAACAATAGAACTTATTGCTTCTGTCTAATTATGTCTGTATCCATTAGCCAAAATCTCTTGATTCTCCTGTGCTTCCTACCCTTCCTAGACTCTGATAACCACCATTCTACTCTCTACTTCCATTTTTTAAAAATTTCAATAGTTTTTGGGAAAGAGGTTGTGTTTTGTTACATGGAAAAGTACTTTAATGGTGATTTCTGAGACTTTGGTGCACTCATCACCCCAGCAGTGTACACTGTACCCAATGTGTAGACTTTTATCTCTCACCCCCTCTCATCCTTCCCCACGAGTCCCCAGAGTCCATCATGTCATTCTTATACCTTTGCATCCACATAGCTTAGGTCCCACTTAAAAGTGAGAACATACGATGTTTGGTTTTCCTTTTCTGGGTTACTTCACTTAGAAAAATAGTCTCCAGCACCATCCAGGTTGCTGCGAATGCCATTATTTCTTTCATTTTTATTGCTGAGTAGTATTCCACGGAATATATATACCATATTTGTTTATCCATTCGTTGGTTGATGGGCATTTAGGCTGGTTCCATATTTTTGCAATTGCGAATCGTGCTGCTATAAATGTGCCTGTGCAAGTATCTTTTTCATATAATGACTTCTTTTCCTCTTAGTAGATACCCACGAGTGAGATCACTGGATCAAGTGGTAGTTCTACTATTAGCTCTTTAAGGAATTCATACTGTTTTCCATAGTGGTTGTACTAGTTTACATCTCCACCAGCAATGTAAAAGTGTTCCCTTTTCACCACATCCATGCCAGCATCTATTATTTTTTGTATTCTTTTTAAATTATGACTATTTTTGGAGGAGTAAGGTGGTATCATATTGCGGTTTTGATTTGCATTTACCTGATCAACATTAGTGATGTTTAGCATTTTTTTCATATGTTTGCTGGTCATTTATATATCTTCTTTTGAGAGTTGTTTATTCATGTTTTTAGCCCACTTTCTGATGGGATTATTTCTTTTGGTTCTTGCTGATTTGTTTGAGTTCCTTATAGATTCTGGATACTAGTACTTTGTTGGAGGCATGGTTTGTGAATAATTTCTCCCATTCCGTGGGTTGTCCATTTATCCTACTGATTATTCTTTAATCCTTTTATCCTACTGATTATTTATTTTGCAATGCAGAAGTTTTTAGTTTAAGTCCCATCTATTTATCTTTGTTTTTGTTGCATTTGCTTTTGGGTTCTTGGTCATGAACTCTGCCTAAGCCAATGTCTAGAAAAGTTTTTCCAGGCTGGGCACGGTGGCTCACCCCTGTAATCCTAGCACTTTGGGAGGCTGAGGTGGGTGGATTGCCTGAGGTCAGAAGTTCGAGACCAGTCTGGCCCAAATGGTGAAACCCCATCTCTGCTAAAAACACACACACAAAAAAAAAAAAAGAAAGAAAGAAAGAAAGAAAGAAATAGCCGGGCTTGGTGGCATACGCCTGTAATCCCAGCTACTCGGGAGGCTGAGGCTGGGGAATTGCTTGAACTAGGGAGGGGGAGGTTGCAGTGAGCCGAGATCACACAACTGCACTCCAGCCTGCGTGACAGAGCGAGACTCCATCTCAAAAAAAAAAAAAAAAAAAAAAAAAAAAAGATTTTCAGATGTTATCTTCTAGAATTTATATGGTTTCTAGTCTTGGATTTAAGTCTTTGATCCATCTTGAGTTGATTTTCGTGTAAAGTGAAAGATGAGGATCTAGTTTTACTCTTCTATATGTGGCTTGGCAATTATCCCAGCGCTATGTGTTGAATAGGGTGTCCTTTCCCCACTTTATGTTTTTGTGTACTTTGTCAAAGATCAGTTGGCTGTAAGTATTTGGCTTTATTTCTGAGTTCTCTATTCTGTTATATCATTCATGTGCCTCTTTTTATACCAGTATCATGCTGTTTTGGTAACTATAGCCTTATAGTATAGTTTGAAGTTGGGTAATGCGATGCCTCCAGATTTTTTGTGTGTGTGTGCTTAGTCTTGCTTTGGATATGGGAACTCTTTTTTGTTTCCATATTAATTTTAGTATTTTTTTCTAGTTCTGTGAATAATGATGATGGTGTTTTGATGGAAATTTCATTAAATTTTTAGATTGCTTTTGGCAGTATGCTTATTTTCACACTATTGATTCTACCCTTCCAGGGGCATGGGATGTGTTTCCATTTGTGTCATATATGATTTCTTTCAGCTGTGTTTTGTAGTTTTCCTTATACAGATCTTTCACATCTTTGGTTAGGTACATTCCTAAGTATTTTATTTTATTTTATTTTTGCAGCTGTTGTAAAAAGGGAATGAGTTTTTTATTTGATTCTCAGCTTGGTCACTGTTGGTGTATAGCAGTGCTACTGATTTTGGTACATTGATTTTTTATCCTGAGACTTTACTGAATTCATTTATCAGATCTAGGAGCTTTTTGGATGAGTCTTTAGGGTTTTCTAGGTATACAATCATATTATCAGCAAAGAGTGACAGTTTGACTTCTTCTTTACTGATTTGGATGCCTTTTATTTCTTTCTCTTGTCTGATTGCTCTGGCTAGGACTTCCAATACTATGTTGAATAGAAGTGGTAAAAGTGGGCATTCTTGTCTTGTTCCAGTTCTCAGGAGGAATGCTTTCAACTTTTCCCTGTTCAGTATAATGTTGGCTGTGGGTTTGTCAGAGATGGCCTCTACTACCTTAAGGTAAGTCCTTTCTACACCAATTTTGCTGATGGTTGTAATTATAAATGTATGCTGGATTTTGTCAAATGCCTTTTCTGCATCTATTGAGATGAGCATATGACTTTTGTTTTTTAATTCTGCTGATGCTGTGCATCACATTTATTAACTTGTGTATGTTAAATCAACCCTACAACTGTCTTATGAAACCCACTTGATCATGTTGTATAATCTTTTTGATATACTGTTTTATTTGGTTAACTAGTAGTCAGTTGAGGATTTTTGCATCTATATTCATCAGGCATATTGGTGTGTAGTTTTCTTTTTCATGTCATTTCCTGTTTTTGGTATTAGGGCGATACTGGATTCATAGAATGATTTAGGGAAGATTCACTCTTTCTCTATCTTTTGGAATAGTTTCAGTAGGATTGGTACCAATTATTCTTTGAATGTATGATAAAATTCAGCTGTGAATCCATCTGGTCTTGGACTTCTTTGTTTGCATTTTTTTTATTACTGTTTCATTCTTGCTACTTGTTATTGGTCTGTTCAGAGTTTCTATTTCTTACTGATTTAATGAAGGAGGGTTGCATATTTCCTGGAATTTATCCATTTTCTCTAGGTTTTCTAATTTGTGCACACAAAGGTGTTCATAGTAGCTTTCAATGATCTTTTGTATTTCTGTGTTATCGATTGTGATATCTTCCATTTTGTTTCTATGTGAGCATATTTGGAACTTCTCTTTTTTTTTCTTGGCTAGTCTTACTAATAATTGTCTATCTTTTTATTTTTTAATCTTTTTAAAGAACCAGGTTTTCTTTCATCATCTTTTGTATTTTTTTTTGTTTCCATTTTGCTTATGCTCTGACCTTTGTTATTTATTTTCTTCTGTGGGTTTGGGTTTGGTTTGTTCTTGTTTCTCTAATTCCCTGAGGTATCAACTTAAATTGTCTATTTGTACTCTTTCAGACTTTTTGATGTAGGCATTTAATGCTATGAAGTTTCCTCTTAGTACCACTTTTGCTGTATCCCAGAAGTTTTGACATGTTGTGTCAGTATTGTTATTCAGTTCAAAGAATTCCTTAATTAATATCTTGATTTCATTTTTGACCCAAAGATTATCCGGGAGCAGATTACTTAAATTCCATGTGTTTATGTAGATTTTAGGATTCCTTTTGCAGTTTATTTCCAATTTTATTGCATTATGGTCTGAGAGAATAGTTGATATAATTTTGAATTTCTTAAATTTATTGAGACTTGTTTTATGGCCTATTCTTTCATCTATCTTGGAGACTGTTCCATATGCTGATGAAGAGAATGTCCCATTTGCTGATGAAAAGAATGTATATTCTGCAGTTGTTGTGTAGAATGTTTTATAAATATCTGTTAAGTTCATTTTTTCTAGGGTATAATTTAAGTTCATTATTTCTTTGTTGACTTTCTGTCTTGATTACTTTTCTAGTGTTGACAGTGGAGTATTAAAGTCCCCCACAATTATTGAGTCACCATCTATCTCATTTCTTAGGTTTAGTAGTAATTGTTTCAAAAATTGGGAGCTCCAGTGTCAGGTGCATATATATTTAGGATTGTGATATTTTCCTGCTGGATTAATATTTCTATCATTATATAATGTCCCTCTTTGTCCTTTTTAACCATTGTTGCTTTAAAGTCTGTTTTGTCTGATATCAGAATAGCTACTTCTTATTGCTTTTGTTTTCCATTTGCATGAAATGTCTTTTTCCACCGCTTTACCTTAAGTTTATGTGAGTCCTTATGTGTTAGGTGAGTATCTTGAAGACAGGAGATACTTGATTGGTGGATTTTTATCCATTCTGCCATTCTGTAAATTTTAAGTGGATTGCTATTTTATTTACATTCAACATTAGTATTGAGATGTGAGGTATTGTTCTATACATCATGCTAGTTGTTGCCTGAAGACCTTGGGTTTTTCTTCATTAAGCAATTGTTTTGCAGGCCCTGTGAGATTTATGCTTTAAGGAGGTTCTATTTTGGTGTATTTTATGGTTTTGTTTCAAGATTTAGAACCTCTTTTAGCATTTCTAGTTGTGCTGGCTTGGTAGTGGTCAATTATCTCAGCATTTGTTTGTCTGAAAAAGACTTTATCTCTCCTTCATTTTTGAAGCTTAGTTTTGCTGGATGCAAAATTCTTGGCTGATAATTATTTTGTTTAAGATGGCTAACGATAGAACCACAATCCCTTCTGGCTTGTAGGTTTTCTGCTGATAAATTTACCATTAATCTGATAAATTTTCTTTTATAAGTTACCTGATGCTTTTGCATCACATTTCTTAAGATTCTTTCCTTTGTCTTGACTTTAGATAACCTGACGACTATGTGCCTAGGCTATAATCTTTTTGTGATGAATTTCCCAGGTGTTCTTTGAGCTTCTTTTATTTGGATGTCTAGATCTCTAGAAAGACCAGGGAAGTTTTTCCTGATTATTTCCTCAAGTAAATTTTCAAAATTTTTAGATTTCTCTTCTTCCTCAGGAACACCAATTATTCTTACATTTGGTCATTTAACATTATCTCAAATATCTTGAAGGTTGTGTTCATTTTTTAAGTTAGTTTTTCTACTTGTTTGATTCTATTGTTAAAACTTTCCAGTGAATTTTGCATATCTCTAGGTTTGTGTTTCATTTCCAGAAGTTGTGATTATCTTTTCTTTATGATATCTATTTCTCTGGAGACATTTTCATCCATATTCTGTATTGTTTTTTCAATTTCTTTAAGCTGGATTTCACCTTTCGCTGGTACCTCCTTGAGTAGCTTAATAATCAACCTTCTGAATTTTTTACCTGGCAATTCAGAGATTTCTACTTGATTTGGATTCATTGCTAGAGAGCTAGTGTGATCTTTTGGGGATCCTATAGAACCTTGTTTTTTCTGTTACAGGATTATATTTCTGGTTCCTTCTCATTTGGGTAGACTATTTTAGTGGAAAGATCTGGAACTCAAGTGCCGCTATTCAGATTATTTTCTCCCACGTGGTAATTCCTTGATGTAGTGCTCTCCTCCTTCCCCTAGAAATGGGGCTTCCTGAGAGCCAGACTGTAGTGATTATTATTTCACTTCTGGTTCTAGCCACCCAGAGAGGGTATCATCCTCTGGGCTGGTGCTGGGGAATGTCTGCAAAGAGTCCTGTGATGTGATCTGTCTTCAGGTCTCCCAGACATTGATACCAGCACCTGTTCCAATGAAGCTGACAGGGGGGTAAAGTGAACTCTGTGGGAGTCCTTGCTTGTAGTTTTATTTAGTGCACTGGTTTTCTTGAATGCCGGTTATGCTAGCAGTGAAGTTGTCATGTGGACAGAATCAGGACTATGATTAGCCAGGGTATTGCGGGTGGTGGAATTATCTGTTGTTTTCTCATTCTTTGGAACAGGGTTGTTCTGTTATGAGTTGCTGTAATGGCTTGAATTGATTGGTCTCCAGCCAGGAGATGTTGCTTTCAAGAGAGCACCAGCTGAGATGGTAGAAGGGGGACAATATCTTGCCCTGTACTGACTAGGATAAGTATTCAGTTTTTTCAGGTGATGGGCAGGGCCATAGACCTCCCAAGAGTTTATGTCTTTTGTCTTTTGCTACCAGGGCGAGTAGGGTAACACCATCCATTGGGGGCAAGGTTAGGCGGATCTGAGCTCAGACTCTCCTTGCCCAGAGCTTGCAGCAGCCATTGTGGGTGGGGGCTGGTTCTCAGGCTAATGGGGTTATGCTCCCAGGGGGAATATGACTGCCTCAGTTGTGTGATACATACAGGTTGCCAGGGAAGTGGGGGAAAGCTGGCAATGAGAGGCCTCACTCATCTCCCACACAGCCAGCAAGGCCAGTCTCACTCCTGCTGCTGTGCCCTGCCAACAGCACAAGTGTATATTCAGGCAATCTGTGAGCAGGACTGAGATCTTGCCCCAGGCTACATGCTTCCCTGGAGAGAAAGCAAAGAGGGCTCTCAGTTCTCACCCCTCTCTGCCTGCCTTCACTGTTGGCTGTGGCTTCTGCAATCATATTTGCACTTCCCATTTGCCCCCGCATTCTGCTCAGAAAAAAATCATGCTCAGTCAAAATTAATACAAATTTCAGCAAGGAGCCTCCTTCACCCTGTGGCCCCTCTGCAGTTCCACTGGCTGCCTTCCCTGAGGACTGCTATGAAATATAGCCAGGGATAGCTTCCCTGAGCTAGAGCTTGGGACTGGGAGTGCCTACAGGGCTCTTCCCACTGCCTGCTACTTCTGCTTTTGTATTTTGCTCATCTCCCTAAATCCATTTCAGCTCTAGGTAAGGTTAGTTCCTTCTCCCATGATCTGGATTTTTAGTTACTCCAGTGAGGATGTTTATTTGCAGTCAGATTTTTCCCCCTCTCACACTTTGGGGACTCACAGTTTTTTGACTGTCTCACAGAGTTTGCAGCAGCAAGCTGCTTATTTCAAAGTGTCTGTGAATTCTTTTGGTTTTCCTGGTATGTCCTTGCAATGGTTTTTGGAGCAAAAGTTCACAACATGAGTCTCCATACACTCTTCTGTCTGTTCAAGTGGGAGCTGCACATTAGTCCTGTCTCTTATCTGCCATTTTTTTCTCAGCCCAGCCTCTACTTCCATGTTTAAAAAACATTTAGAAAGAAAATAGATTATAAAAAGAGAGTGTTTACTGAAAAAGCAAGATGTTTTCAAAAACAAGTTTATCATGTAGGAAACTGGCAATAAGTAAATAATTTTAAACCATATAATTGAAAAATGTGCAAAAAAAAAAAAAGAAAAGAAAAGAAAAGAAAACCCTACAATTCCCATGATCTGACTTCTGATTCTGAATAACATGTTTGTAGTTTCAGGCCAATAGTACCACCACAACAAGTAGAAACAGCCTGATAAATTACAAAACATATTTTTAAAGGAATCAGAGATGTAAAAGCAAGGATAAGTAAGCGAACTAAAATATATTTTTTAAAAGGTGTGGGAGGCATTTTCTGGGATGAGTTGATTATCTCCAGTTATTACTTCCCTGGGAGTATACCTATTCTCTGTGTACCAAATGTATCCGACTTTCCCAGGTTGCAAACTACCCTAGGCAGAATGCCCCTGCTAACAGGAAAATCAGAAAAGCTTTCTGTGGTTCTTTGCAGCTGGCTAATATGGCAAATTGAACAATTAAAGAAACCAAAACACAAAGTCAAGATTCAATATGAGACATTTCCTTAATTCTGGTGCAGTGCAGGTGGCTAGAAAACTAAGCAGAAAGTTTCTAAAAGGCAGAAAAAAGTCTTCCTGATTTTTCTGGGCTTAGGAAATAAATACATTCTCCAAGTATATGGCCGTGTGCCAGTACTGAATCAATCAGAGGTAAGAATTTAGCAAACTAAGCTAGAACATTTAAAGGGCAGAACTAGATTTCCTAAAGGACCCAGGAGACTAAAACAAATCAAGGTCCCAATCAGAGACCTTTCTAGAAAGACCATGCCTATGACCAGGAAAGACCAGAAGACCAGAAGGTAGACTTAGTCTCAGAAACTGAAAACAACTAGCACATTTTTTTTAAGTATTTAACTTTTGTGTGTACATAGTAGGTATATATACTTATGGACTACATGAGATATTTTGATATAGGCATGCAAAGTGTAATAATCACATCAGGGTAAATAGGGAATCTATGACCACAAGCACTTATTCTTTGTGTTACAAATAATCCAATTAAACTATTTTAGTAATTTTAAAGTGTACAATGAAATTATCTTTTACTATAGTCCACCTGCTATGCTAGGACATACTAGATCTTATTCATTCTTTCAGACTATTTTTTGTACCCATTAACCATCTCCACTTCCTCTCAACCCCACCCCCACCCCCACCCCACTACACTTCCCAGTCTCTCTTCTCTGTATCCCCATGAGTTCAATTATTTTAATTTTTAGCTTTCACAAATAAGTGATAACATGTGAAGTTTACCTTTCTGTGCCTGACTTATTTCAGTTAACATAGTGACCCCTAGTTCCATCTATGTTGTTGAAAATAACAGGATCTCATTCTGTTTTATGGCTGAGTAGTATTCCATGGTGTAATATATACTACATTTTCTTTGTCTGTTGTTTATCTGTCCATCTGTTTATCTGTTGATGGACACTTAGGTTGCTTCCAAATCTCAGCTATTGTGAATAGGGCTGCAATGAACATAGAAGTGGAGACATCACTTGGATATACTGATTTCCTTTCTTTTGGGTATATACCTAGGAGTGGGATGTATATACCTAGGAGCTGGAACATATGGTAGCTCTATTTTTAGTTTTCTGGGGAACTTCTAAACTGTTCTCCCCAGTGGTCGTGCTAACTTACATTCCCACCAACGGTGTATAAGGGTTCCCTTTTCTCTGCAACCTTGCCAGAATTTGTTATTGGCTGACTTTTAGATAAAAGCCATTTTAACTGCATTGAGATGACACCTCACTATAGTTTTAATTTTCATTTTGTGATGATCAATGATGTTGAGCACCTTTTCATATACCTGTTTGCCTTTTTTATGTCTTCTGTTCAGAAATGCCTATTCAGATTTTTTTTCCATTTTTTAATCAGAGTATTAGAATATTTCCTATAGAGTTGTTTGAGCTTCTTATATATTATGGTTATAAATCCCTTGTCAAATTGGTAGTTTAGAAATATTTTCTCCCATTCTATGGGTTGTCTCTTCACTTTCTTGAACATTTCAAACTGTTTCTTGAAAGTGTTTATTGAAGATACTTTCTTTTTTTCCTTTGCTGTGCAGAAGGTTTTTTAACTAGATGAGAACCCATTTGTTCATTTTTGCTTTGCTGACTGGTGTTTGTGAGCTACTACTCAAGACATCTTTGCCAAGATCAATGTCCTAGAGAGTTTCTTCAATGTTTTCTTGTAGGAGTTTTATAATGTAAGGTATTATATTTAAGTATTTAGTCCATTTTGATTTTATTTTTATATATAGCAAGAGATAAAAGTCTGGTTTCATTCTTCTGCATATGGATATACAGTTTTTTTCCAGCAACATTTATGGAGGAGACTGCTCTTTCCCCTATGTATGTTCTTGGTACATTTGTTAAAAATGAGTTCACTGTAGGTGTATGGATTTGGCTCTAGGATCTTTATTCTGATTCATTTGCCTATGTGTCTGTTTTTATGCCAGTACTATGCCATTTTTATTAATGTAGCTCTGTGGTATAATTTGAGGTCAGGTAATGTGATTCCTCCAGTTTTGTTGTTTTGCTCAGGATAGCATTGACTATTCCAGGAGGAATTTTGTAGTTCTATATAAATTTTATAATTATTTATTTCCCTGAAAAATGTCATTAGTATTTTGATAAGGATTGCATTGGATCTGTAGTTTGCTTTGCATAGCATGACATTTTAATAATATTATTTCAATCAGTGAACATGGAATATCTTTCCATATTTGTGTGTCTTCTTCTATTTCTTGCATCAGTGTTTTATAGTTTTTATTGTAGAATCTTTCACTTCTTTGGTTAAGTTTATTCCTATGTATTTTATTTTACTTGTAGTTATCGTAAGATTATTTTTTCCATAATGGTCACTGCTGGCATATAGACATTTCAATAATTTTTGTATGTTGATGTTGTATCCTGCAACTTTACTGAATGTCTTTCTAATAGTTTTTTGGTGGAGTCTTCAGGTTTTTCCAAATATAAGATCATATCATCTGCAAACAGGGATAATCTCACTTCTTCCATTCCAATTTGTATTCCCTTTATTTCCTTCTCTTATCTGACTGTTCTAGCTAGGACTTCAAGGACTATATTATTGAATAACATTGGTAAAAGTGGGCATCCTTGTCGTGTTCCTGAACTTAGAAAAGGATTTCTGTTTTTACCCATTCAGTATGATACTTGCCATAGGTTTGTCATATATGGCTTTTATTATGTTGGGGTATGTTCTTTCTGTACCCAGTTTGTTTTTAGAGTTTTTATCATGAAGGGATGTTGACATTTATCACATTTTTTCAGCATCAATTGAAATTATTCCTGGTTTTTGTCCTTTATTCCATTGATATAGCATATCATATACATTAATTTTCATATGTTGAACCATCCTTGCATCCCTGGTATAAATCCCACTTAGGTAATGTTCCCCTCTTATTTCTGGTTTTAGGTTTTTGAGTCTTCTCTCTATTTTCTTAATTTAGCTGAATAATAGTTAAATATATTAATCTTTTTGAAGAGCCAACTCTTGTTTTTGTTGATTTCTTATATTGTTTTTCTAATCTCTATTTTATCTCTAATCTACTCTTTTTTATTTTCTTCCTTCTGCCAACTTTGGGTTTAGTTTGTTTCTGTATTTCTAGTTCCTTATAGCGTCAAGATTAGGTTGACAAAATTGAGGTCTTACTACTTTCTTAATGTAAGTATTTATAGCTCTTAATATCCCTTTTAAGACTGCTTCTGTTGCATCCCAAACATTTGAATATGTTGTCTTTTCATTTCAATTTGTGTCAAGATAATTTGTAATTTCCCTTGTGAATTCTTCTTTGACCTATTTGTTGTTTAAGTGAGAGTTGTTTAATTTCCACATAATGGTAGATTTTATGGTTTTAATTCTGCTGCTTATTTCTAGTTTCATTCCATTGTGATCAGAAAAGATGCTGTGTTTGATTTTATTTTTTTCTTTTTAATTTATGAAGACTCATTTTGTCACCTAACATTTGGTACCTCCCAGAATATGTTCCATGTGAACTTGAGAAAAAAGTGTATTTTGTTGGTTTTTGGTGAGATGACTTTTTTACGTTTTTAGTACCAATTGCTTTATAGTGTTGTTTAGGTCTTCTATTTCCTTTTTGATCATTTGTTTGGATGTTGAAGCCACTGACACAAGTAGGGTTAATTTTTCCTACTATTCATGTAAGTATGTTCATATTTCCCTTTATTCCTGTCAGTGTTTGCTTGATACATATCTGTGCCCTGATGTTCAATGCGTATATGCTTATTATCTCTTCTATGTGAATTGATCGTTTCATCAATAGGTATTGCCCTTCTTTTTTGCTTGTAACAGTTTGTAACTTAAAGTCTATTTTGTCTAATATTAGTATAATAACCTTTGCTCTTTTTGGGTTACTATTTACATGGAATATGTTTTTTCCTCCTTTCACTTTCAATCTATGTATGTCCTTACATTTAAAGTGAGTTTTTTATAGATGACATATAGTTTAATTATGTTTTTTAAAAATTTATTCTACCAGTCTACATATTTTGATGATGGTGTTTAATATACTTACATTTAAAGTAATTACAAATAGAGAAACTCTTACTTATTCCATTTTTTTTTTTTTGTATGTCTTACAGGTTTTTTTTGTCCCTGTTCTTTATGTCTGTCTTCCTCTAGTTTATTTGATTTTGGGGAGTGGGGGTATATTTTGAAAATCTTATTTTCTTTTGTTTATATATTCTATAGATATTTTCTTTGAGGTTAGCAGAAAGATTATATTTATCTTCATATAGTTATAATAATCAATCTTTAATTGCCAATTTAATTTCCAACACTTAAAAAAAAACTTTGCAGCTCTATCTCCCATGTTATTGATCACCACAAGTTATATCTTTATATATTGTGCACCCTGTAAAATAGATTTATCATTGTTTATGCTTTTATCTTTAAAGTTCTGTTAAAATTAAAAAGCGAAGTTACAACCAAAATTATGACAATACACATTTTCATATTTATCCGTTTACTTACTTTTTACTGGAGAACATTTTATTTGTGTAGCTTTCAGTTTCTGTCTGACATCCTTTTGTTCCATCTTGAAGGACTTTCTTTAGCATTTCTTATAGGACAGACTGGTCTAGATTTAATTAGTCCCCTCATCTTTTGTTCATCTTGGCATATCATAATTTCCCTATTTTTTTGGAGAATACCTTTACCAAATATAGAATTCCTGGTTAAAAGTGTTTTTGGTTTTTTTTTCTTTCAGCTCTTTAAATATGTTATCTCAGTGCTCCTGGCCTGCAAAGTTTCTGCTGAGAAATCCAGTGAAATCTTATGGGGAATCCCTTGAATGTGACAAGTCATTTTTCTCTTGCTGCTTTCAGAATTCTCTCATTGATTTGTCTCTTGACAGTTCGATTTTAATGTGTCATAATGTGGGTGTCTTTCAGTTAATCCTATTTGGAGTTAATTAAACTTCTTGCATTTGTGTATTCATGTCTTTCCTTAAGTTTGGGAAGTTTTCAGCCATTATTTCTTTAAATAAGCTTTCTGCTCCTTTTTCTACTTCTCTTTTCCTTCAAAGACTTTCATGACTTATATATTTGTCTGGTTTATACTGTGCTACAAGTATTTTTTTTGTATTCATTTTTTTCCCTCAGGCTTCATAATTTCTAATGACCTGTTTTCAAGTTCACTGATTATTTTCTCTGCCTTTTTGAGTTATCTATTTTATCATTCTAGTGAATTTTTCAGTAAACCTATTGTATTTTTCGGCTCATGAATTTCTGTTTGTTTTTAAGTAATTTCTATCTCTTTGTTGATATTCTCATTTACTTCATGTATCATTTTCTTATTTTTATTTATTTCTTTGTGTATGTTTCCCCCTACCTATTTAAGACAGTTGTTTAAAGCCTTCATTTATTAAGTCTTAGCATGTGTTTCCTCAGAGACTATTTCTGGAGATTTATTTTTGTTCCTTTGAATGGGCCATATTTTTCTGTTTTTTTTTTTTTTTTTTTTTTTTTTTAATATCCCTTGTGAATTTTCGGTGATATTTAAACATTTGAAGAATCATCTACCCCTCTGATTCTTTTTTTTTTTTTTTTTTTTTTGATACTGAGTCTCCCTCTGTCGCCCAGGCTGGAATGCAGTGGTGTGATCTCTGCTCACTGTAAGCTCCGCCTCCTGGGTTCACGCCATTCTCCTGCCTCAGCCTCCCAAGTAGCTGGGACTACAGGCGCCCACCGCCGTGCCCGGCTATGATTTTTTGTATTTTTAGTAGAGACGGGGTTTCACTGTGTTAGCCAGCATGGTCTCAATCTCCTGACCTCGTGATCTGCCGGCCTTGGCCTCCCAAAGTGCTGGGATTACAGGCGTGAGTCACTGCGCCCGGCCCCCTCTGATTCTTTACAGATTGTTATGGAAGACTTTTACTAATCAGTGGGCCTCTGAATATTGAAATCAGCCTGGGGTGAAGGCTTGAGTCTTCTTTTCCTAGGTATGCTTCATTTCTGGGCCTGTCTAGGTACTCTTTTCTGTTTTCCCCCTGGATAGTTTTAAAAGCCTTAAATTTTAAAATATTCTCACCCAAGATTTTGTGGGGAACTTAGGTGTTCTATTGCATATATTTGTCTGTAATCTCTTGATCCCAGACATCTACAGGTCTGAAGTTCCCCTGTGGTTTTCATGCACCACAGCAGTAACCACTGCCTTCTGTGACTTTCATCTTTAGACATTAATCAAATGTGCCATCAATTCCATTTGAACTTTAAGTTTAATAAGATAGACCAGTCACTCTGGCAGCCCACAGATAGACTAAAACATTGACAACTATTTCCATTCTGTTATTTCCGTCACAAGGGAGGGAACCAGGAAATAAGCCGCTTCTTCCTGACCTTGCTGCACTATGCTGGAGAGGGCGTGTGGCAAGAGTGAGTAAAAGTGTTATAAAATTTTCTACCGTTTTGAATGTGTCTTGATTGAGCATTGGCTTGGTTGTTATAGATACTAGATTGTGTTCCAGAGCTCCCATGAAGTTATTTTAGCTAATATGTATGTGTTTGTTTGTTTGTTTGGTGTTTTGATGGAAAAACAAGGTCCTGGAGCTTCCTAGTCCACCATCTTAGTAATGTCAGTCTCTAAACTGCTTTGTTGTGCCTAAAATATGCTGTTATGGTCATCTATTACCATTTTTAAATATTTTCTCATATTTATAATTTACATTTTTTACTTTTTCAAATCTGTTACATCATTTTTATGATTTACACTTCTTTGCAGATATTTTCATGCTTGTCATATATTTCCTAAATATTGTAAACATAGTTATTTTAAAATTTGAATCAGATAAGTCAACGAAATGAAGTCTTTGTGGACATGTTTCTATTGTTTTATTTTTCTGATACCTCATACATAGCATTCTGTTTTGTATTCTTTTCTTTTATGTCAATTAGTTTTTGACAGAGAGCTGCTAAAACTCCTTAAAAATAATTGTTGGGATTATTTGAAAGATAGAAAAAAGGTGGAATTATCTGGATAGGACTTGCATTTACTTCTGCAAGATGTGTTTGGGCACCACCAGTATGGGGGTACTCTGCCTTAATGAAAGGTTTGAGTTTTTATGGCTTATCTTGGCAGTATGAACTTGAGGTTAAAATACTTCAAGAAATAGTTTGTGTTTATGATTATGTTTCATTGCCGTTTATTTCAATCTTGCATTGCTCAGTACCAAAGAAACTTTAGCTGTATGTTTCTAGTAGGTATGTTAATATAACAGAGTTTGTTTCTGGTTGGAAACTGTGTTGATGGCATAGGTATTTGGCTTTCCAGCTTTGTGAGGAAGGTGTCTTCTGATTCACATCTCATCTTGGTTATGCCTTGGCTTTTGCTTGCAGTGTTCTCAAATCACTCAACATCATAAAAATACATACTAAATGATGCCAGCTTTGGAAAACAATATTCGAGCAAAAATAGCTCGGTAGTTTTCTTACCATTTTAATGGCTTCATTCACCTGATAAATCTTTTCTGTCTTGTTTATTCTTCCATGTATTTAAATTTTTTAAAATATTTCATCCAACATCTTTAAATAGTTTCAGTAACAGTGTTAATATGGATACATAGCTAGTTGTATTACCAGAAATAGGCTTTAATTTAAACAGACTTTAATTTAAACAGGGTTTAATTTAAACAAGCTCTGGTATCAAATCAGGAGTTGGTAAGATAGGATTAAAAAAACACTTAAACATTTTCTACCAAGGGGAATTTTTCCAATAAGACTCAAAGTGTGTTCTACGAATCATTGCATCTCAATCACCCAAGTTGATTTTCAAAATGAAAATTCCTGGGTCCAACCCAATAAATACCGAGTAAATAATATCAAGGTATGGATCCCAGGAATCTATATTTTTGTCAACCACCATAAGTAATTCATAGGGGACAAAAATGTAAGGCCCATCATTTACAGCTAAAATTTAAATGAATTACTTTCTCTTTTAATATTTTCATTGAAACAAAATACAAGACAGAACCAATCCTTGATGAGAACAGTATTTCATATGTCTAAATCATGGTTCTGGACTTGACAAGAAAGAAAAATAGGTATAGAATTGCCACTTTAATGAAAAGTTAATTTCCACATAATTAGAGGAGTGTAATTCATTATTGAGGTATGAATTAATAAAACTAGTAAGTGATATTATATATTCAAAGACACCAGATATTTTTATTATTCAATGATATTTTTAATAAGGGGTTGAATTTGGACAGTAGACAAACTTCTAACCACATAGCAGAGCACTGTGGAGAAATTCACTTGGCATGCCAAAGAATAAATATCTTTCACCTTTGTGAAGAGCCTGTAAGAAATTCTGACAAGGCAAACCTCAGGATGCAGTCTTTCTCCCTGCAAATAAATGGCTGCAGCTGTGCTGTCCATCCATGTGCCTTTTACCTGCTGAGTCTCTGTGTCTGATATTGCACTGGCCATTTTAAAGGCAGCTTTTCTATAAACTGAGTGTAAGTTATATTTCAGAGGACTTTACATTTCTCTTTCTGGTTACTAAAAGCTAAATTACTATTTCAAATCAAAATTATTATTTTAGATGGTGGTAGGCAAAAGGAATATGCATGAAAGGAAACATCTTTTATAGGGAGTTGAAAATGAATAATAAGAGATAGCTTTAATCAGATGGGAGTCTATGGATTTAGACTCTTTAAAATCATTACTTTTCCACAAATGATTTTAAAGTTTTGACTTATCAATTATGGTTCTTCATGTCATAAAACTAATATCAATTTGAATCAGAGAAACATGATTGACTTGGTAACTTCTTTTTTTTTTTAAGTCGGGCCTTTAGTTTCTGAGTCTTTTTTTTTTTCCTATTCTGTCATGAACTTTAAAATTTTTTTTCTTATTTCCAAAGGTTTTTGGGAAACAGGTAGTAGTTGGTTACATCAGTAAGTTGTGGTGATTTGTGAGATTTTGGTGAACCCATCACCTGAGCAGTATACACTGTAGCCAATTTATAGTCTTTTATCACTCATCCCCCTCCCCTACATTCCCCCAAGTCCCCAAAGTCCACTGTATCATTCTTATGCCTATGCATCCTCATAGCTTAACTCTCACTTATGAGTGAGAACATATGATGTTTCGTTTCCCATTCCTGAGTTACTTCACTTAGAATAGTGGTCTCCAATTCCATCCAGGTTGCTGTGAATGCCGTCACTTCATTCCTTTTAAATGGCTGAATAGCATTCCATTATATATATGTATATCACAATTTCTTTATCCACTCATTGATTGATGGACATTTGGGCTGGTTACATATTTTGGCAATTGTGAATTGTGCTGCTATAAACATGCCTGTGCAAGTATCTGTTTTGTATAATGACTTCTTTTACTCTGGGTAGATGCTGAGTAGTGGGATTGCTGGATCAAGTGGTAGTTCTACTTTCAGCTCTTTAAGGAATCTCCACACTGTTTTTTAATAATGTTTGTACTAGTTTACATTTCCACCAGCAGTGTAAAAATATTCCCTTTTCACTGCATCCCCAACAACATCCATTATTTTTTTATTATGGCCATTCTTGCAGGAGCAAGGTGGTTTTGCGCATTGCGGTTTTGATTTGCATTTACCTCATCATTAGTGATGCTGAACATTTTTTCATATGTTTGTTGGCCATTTATATATCTTCTTTTGAGAATTGTCCATTCATAATTTTTTATGGGATTGTTTGTTTTTTCCTTGCTAATTTGTTTGAGTTCTTTAAAATTTTTTTTTTAAATTATACTTTATGTTCTGGGATACATGTGCAAAATGTGCAGGTTTGTTACATAGGTACACACGTGCCATGGTGATTTGCTGCACCCATCAACCCATCATCTACATTAGGTATTTCTCCTAATACTATCCCTCCCCTAGCCCCTCACCCCCTCAACAGGCCCCAGTGTGTGATGTTCCCCTCCCTGTGTACATGTGTTCTCATTGTTCAACTTCCACTTATGAGTGAGAACATGCAGTGTTTGGTTTTCTGTTCTTGTGTCAGTTTGCTGAGAATGATGGTTTCCAGCTTCATCCATGTCCCTACAAAGGACATGAACTCATCCTTTTTTATGGCTGCATAGTATTCCATGGTGTATATGTGCCACATTTTCTTTATCCTGTCTATCATTGTTTGAGTTATTTGTAGATTCTCGATATTAGTCCTTTGTTGGATGTATAGATTGTGAAGATTTTCTTCCACTCTGTGAGTTGTCTGTTTACTCTTCTGACTGTTTCTTTTGCCATTCAGAAACTTCTTAGTTTAATTAAGTCCCACCTATTTTTCATTGTTTTTGTTGCATTTGCTTTGGGGTTCTTGGTAATGAATTCTTTGCCTAAGCCAACGTCTAGAAGGGTTTTTTGATGTTGTCTTCTAGAATCTTTATGGTTTCAGGTCTTAGATTTAAGTCCTTGATCCATCTTGAGTTGATTTTTGTATAAGGTGAGAGATAAGGATCAAGTTTCATTCTTCTATATGTGGCTTTCATGTGATTCCAGCACGATTTGTTGAATAGAGTATTATCTCCCCATCTTATTTTTTTGTTTGCTTTGTTGAAGATCAGTTGGCTGTAAGTATTTGGCTTTATTTTTGGGTTCTCTATTCTGTTCCTTTGGTCTCTGTGCCTATTTTTATACCAGTATCATGCCGTTTTGGTGACTGTGGCATAGTTTGAAGTCAGATGCCTCCAGATTTGTTCTTTTTGCTTAGTCTTGCTTTGACCGTGCAGGCTCTTTTGTTCCATATAAATTTTAGGATTGTCTTTTCTAGTTCTGCGGAAAATGACAGTGGTATTTTGATGGGGATTGCACTGAATTTGTAGACTGCTTTTGGCAGTATGGTCATTTTCACAATATTGATTCTACCCATCCATGAGCATGGGATGTGTTTCTTTAACTTGATAACTTCTATCATCCACAAGTGGGAAAGATAGCAGTAGTTAGAAATTGTGTTTAAAGAAAATGGGGGGCCTCTGCAAATTGAATATTAGCGTTCTTCAAGCCTGTAATTTTAGACATTTGGGTAAATCTGATCAGACTCTTGATATAGATAGATAGATGAAATAAATATTGATAAAGATATACAGATAAGTAGATACAGATAAGAAGCTTAGTTTAGCTGGACATTAAATTCTTGGTTGGAATTTAATTTTTGATGCTCAATGTAGGCCCACAATCTCTCCTTGTTTGTAGGATTTCTGCTAACTGGTTTGCTGTTAGCCCGATAAGGTTCCCTTTGTAGGTGATCTGTCCCTTCTCTCTAGCTGCCTTTAGTATTTTTACTTTTGTGTTGACCTTGGATAATCTGATGACTAGGTGTCTTGGGGATGGTTATCCCATAACCTGTGTCTCACAGGGGTTCTCTGCATTTCCTGAAATTGAAGGTTGACCTCTCTAGTAATGTTGGGGAAATTTTCATGGACAATATCCTCAAATATTTTTTTCAAGTTTCTTGCTCTCTTTCCCTCTCTTACAGGGATGCCAATGAGTTGCAGGTTTGGTCTCTTTACATAATTTCATATTTCTCAGAGGTTTTGCTCATTGATTCTTATTTTTTCTTTATTTTTGTCTGACTGAGTTGATTTGAAGAACTTGTCTTTGAGCTCCAAGATTCTTTCCTCAGCTTGGTCTATTCTGTTGTTCATACTTCCAGTTATATTATGGCATTCATGTAGTGAATTTTTAGCTCTAGAAGTTTAGTTTGGTTCTTTCTTAAAATGGCTATTTCATCTTTCAGCTCTTATATTGATGTATTAAATTCCTTATGTTTCTTTGATTGGGTTTCTACTTTCTCCTGAATTTTGATGATCTTTGTTCCTATCCAGGTTCTGAATTCTATGTCTCTTATTTTAGCCATTTCCACGTGGTTGAGAACTATTTCTGGGGTGCTAGTGCAGTCCTTTGGAAGTAAGAAAACACTCTAACTTTTTGAGTTGCCAGAGTTCTTACACTGGTTCTTTCCCATCTGTGTGGGCTGATGTTCCTTTAATCACTGAAGGCATCAGGGTGTACTGGTTGTGGTGGTGGCTCTGTGTGTTCCAAGTGCACAATAGTGGAGGCGGAGCAGCAGTTCAACATAACCACTCATGCATGCCAGTGGCAATGAGACAGTCCACATATACGCACTGACAGAGCAGTGGAGGGGACTGTGGGTGAGTATGTTCCAGCAAAGCAATAGGGAGAGGCTTCTGGTGGGTGGGGGCATGTTTGTTGGGGCCTGTCAGCTGAAGCTCTCTTACAGTTATGAAAGGTCTGCTAGTGAAGGAGCTGTGGTGGCAGCTGCCAGGAAGCACTCCTGTTGAGTGTTCAAGGCTACAATGCTAGTGGGCATGGCTAGGCATGATCCCTGAGAGAGGCTGGCAGACAGGGAGGTGCTCAGGTCATACTGGCCCCATCTCATCGGCAAGACTACCCTGTTTTATTCCAAGTCCAATAGTCAACAAAAGCCAATCTCACCTAGAAAAGCATGGCAAGCCTTGGGGAATGGGCATTCCTGGCCATGTTCATCTGCAGCCATTCCTTCGCCAAACCATCTGGGCTCCAGACAGTCTGGAGTCCTGTCCCTGATACTTCTTAAAGCAGCCCTCCCTTTCAGGTCAAATATCCATGGGGCTTATCAGATCTCCTGCAGCTAGGATTCTACAAGTCTGTGGTCAGATTGGACCACTTCTCGCCTGTTTAACTCATCCCTTTCCCAAGAGCTGTTTGGGACCAGGAACTAGTCCTGGTGTTTGTCAGCCTCATGCAGGGTTCTCAGCTTTCTCCTCTTTCAGTCCAGAGTCTGCATTCTCCTTCTGTCCACTCTCAATGCCCTTCTTCTGAAGATCTGCTTGGAGTATGCTGATCTTCTCGATGGTCTGGTATTTTGGTGAGAGATGCTCTTCCTGGTTGCATCTAGTCAGCCATCCTGGCTTTTGTCTCCATTTTTTTTTGTTTTTATTTTTAGTAGAGACAAAGTCTTGCTATGATTCCTAGGATGTTCTAGAACTACTGAGCTCAAATAATCCTCCTGCCTCAAGCTCCCAAAGTGCTGGGATTACCGGCATGAGCCACCACACCAAGCCAAGACTTCTTAATAATGTGTTTTACAGTTATTCAAAATTATTTTCTAGTAGAAAGATGTAGATTACAAGTTTTTATATTTATTTGGTCTTAAAACATTTGTAATACTTTCTGTCTGGTTCACTATGGGTTAAATATGAATAAAATTAGGTATTTATAAAATATTTTCTAATGAAAAATGAAAATATAGAAAGTTAGGGAGTGGAATCTGATATTTAAACACTGAGGATTTGTGAATATGTTCTTATAATGAACTCAAGTTTTCTAATGTGGTTCTTTGGGAAATAATGCCAGTGTTATGTCAAAATATTAAGCCTGTGACATAATCAGTGTCCTTTCATTTGGAGTGATATTTCAATATATACTTACTTGTAATATTCCAACCTATTTTCCAGTCAGCCTTTTTAGTTAAAAGCGTTATCAACTTACTCAACTTTCCTTAAAAATAAAGACAAAAAATCAAAATCTTACATTGCCATATTATCATGTTACATCTCCCCTTCCCTTCACATTCAAAACTTTTAAAAAGTATGATCTAGAATTGGTTTTCATTTTCTTACAAACTGTTTCTTTGTTCCTCATTATCGAGTTTTCATTCAAAATGAAAGTGCCTTTCTTGCAGGTAATTGGTTATCTCCTAACTGTCAAGACCAAATGCTTCTTCTCAATCCTCGCTGGGTATTTGACACTGTTCATCAACACCATTGTAAACACTATCTCATTTTTAAAAATCTTTTTTCTTCCTCTTCACAATAACGTTATGACGTACAGGCTGATGACTACCACATCTATAATTCTTGCCCTGCTTCCTCTTTCAAGCTCTAGACTCATTTTCAACATATGGCATGGCATGTGTCTCCTTGTGAATATGCCGCTAGGATCCCAAACCTGACATTTCTAATACCAAACTTATCTGAGTCACCAAACCTGTTCTTCCTCTTGTGGTCCTACTCCTTGTTATTTCAGTTCTCACCTTTAAAATAACATGCTTTAAAAATAACATATTAGAAATTTCAAAATCATTGTAACTCTTTCCTTTCATTCCACATTCATTTAATTGAAAGACCTTCTAATCATGCTTCCACCATGTTTTCATATCTTTTCTTTCCTATCCATGGTCATATGTCACACCTTTATTAATTCTTGCCCAGAGTGTTACCAAAGCTCCCAATTATTTCTGCTTTCTCTATTATTTTTCTAGGGTTATTCTCAACAGGTAAGGTTATGCCACTACTCAGCTCAGAAATATTTTGAGTATATTCACTATGCAGGAAATTGCATCAATACGTCATAGCAAAGCATTCAAGGTGTCCTGGCCGTACAAACTTTCCAGTCTCATTTTCTATTATATCCTTCTATGTTACTTGTGTTCTGGCCACAATGATCTCTTTATCCATAGCTTCATGCTCAATATTCGATGCCCCAGAAATCATATTCAACCTTCAAGGTTCAGCTAGAATATTACCATTTTCATGAAGCTTTCTGTTAAAAATCAATTTTTTCTTCTCTATATTCCTATAACACTTTTACCTCGGGTATAATACTTACTCTTCTTTATACTTTGATAGTTGGTAGAATATCTAAAACAGAAAAGAAACAAATCAGTGTACTATAAAAAGTGTGTATACACTGAACGACATTTGATTATCTAGAATTGAAAGGCTTTAACAATATGTACTATTTGTGTAGGGAAGCATTTAATGTTACACTAACAGACAAAGAAGTAGAACATGAAATTGAGAAAGATGGCAAATGTTTTAGGAATCTTGCCTATGAATCAGCTTCTAACCAAGTTCATGGTGACAAAGTAATCATTACTGTTCAAATGTTTTGTTTCTGGCCAGGCATGGTGGCTCATGCCTGTAACAGCACTTTGGGAGGCCAAGTCAGGTGGCTCACTTGAGGTCAAGAGTTGGAGAACAGCCTGGCCAACATGGTGAAACCCCATCACTAATAACAATACAAAAATTAGCCGGTTGTGATGACATGTGCTTGTAATCCCAGCTACTCGGGAGGCTGAGGCACAAGAATCGCTGGAACCTGGGAGGTGGAGGTTGCAGTGAGCCAAGACCTCACCACAGCACTCCAGCCTAGGTGACAGAGAGACACTATGTATCAAAAAAAAAGTTTTGTTTATAAGACATTAACATGCAATATGTTTAATATGGTTTCTAAATGAATTTCATCAAGATCATTTTTCAAATTCTTTTCTACCACTGAAACAGAGTAAATAATACACATAGATAATAAATATGAATATAGTGAAGTTGCTACTAAATGGAAAAATACATAATGATATGAACATATTTACAACCAACGTCATCTTAACACTGTAAATGTTGCACAAAACATTAAGTATCAATAGGTACACAGCAACACATCATTCATAGACAGCTACTCGCCTTTACTATGAACCAAATGGCATTATTTCGCGTTCATGTCTAGAAGAGAGAAGACGTTGGTCCCTTGCTTATATTTTCAATCACACTGACTTAGAAATAATAGCCTCTTAGGAACATAACTTTGGGACATTTTAATATTGATAATGTGTTTCAACATACCTCTAAAGTGCCATATTATGAAAATCACTCTTAAGAACTCTTAAAACTGTTTGTGTATTTGTGCCCTGGACACTATAGGTCAGCCTTTAAAATCAATAATAGCCCTTACTATTATTGTTAGGAATCTGTGGCAGTGTATCCAGAATAATGACTGTAGAGTTGAAAAATTATTTTTATATTATTGAACATGGTCATTTGTTGACAGAATAAGCCTTCTTCTTTCTCTGCACCTATTTCTTTTATGCCTATCTGAGGATCATAGGCCAGTGGAAAATTTCCTAGTTACAATAGTGAAACTTTGGACTATTTGGATAATCCTTCTTCAAATAGTTACATCAAAAGAAAACAATCTCTAATTGCAAAATGTCAAAATACTCTTTTAAATCAAGTATATAGTGATTTATTTTATCTAAGATTTTTCTATTCCTTTTTATGTTGGCTAAAAGACACACACAGTTAGGAGACAATTATCTGTAGGTTTCTCACATTGCTGCAAGTCTTGCAAAGAGAGTCATTGTCTGACTTTCTTCCAGACTATCTTTTTGAGAATGCTTATATCATGAACTGCTTTAGAAGATAGGGATAATTTCTCCCCCAGAGCATGGAACAGTTTTGTTTACTGTCCAGTATAATAAAGACAATGTCTCCCTCCATGACAATAATCACATAGGCTTACTGACTCTGAAAAAAGTTTAAGTTCCCTGAGCTCAGGGTTCCTTTTCTGTAATGTAACCTATTGCATGTATAGGCATCATGTGAACCTCTTACATCACTCTGTGAGAACTAAGGCTTACAGAACTGGGACAAATGCTGATGCCGACACTCTGGCTACTGTTATTGACATTAGTAAAAAACTTACTTTTTCTGACTGATGTCTCATGTCTTCTGCCAGTATCCATGAAACTATGGCAGCCTAACTCATTAGCTTGTAAGAAGGGTAAAATCTTAGACCCTTCACAGTTCTCAACACATTCATAGGTGCATTATTGCAGGAAAAGAAAGAATAGAGAAACAACCTCCAGGCAGCATTGTCCTAGAAACATATTTCAAATTGGAAAAATGTATATACTAATTCAATTTTCTTTATGCAAATTAATTGTCATGAATTGTAGGCTACTTAGGTAGCTAACACTATTCAAATATTATTTTTCTATTAATTTAATAATTTAAATTGCTATGTAATTTATTTTCATTTGCCCTCTGCATTTGTAGTCTATTTTAAGATTAAACAAGGGGTAAACCTAACCAAACGCATTTATGTGGCTATACTAATGGGTACAGAGAGAGTTGTCTCACACTTTGCTGCTTAAGGATAAAAACGAGTTACTGCATACTGAACAGTGCTGCTCTCTGAGAATATGGAAAAGGCTATTTAGTTCACAGTAGGAGAGGTTACAGTTGTGTGTGACAAATATTGTGAAAAATACAAACACTAAGAATTTTTTTGCACGTGGCAGTTTTTTATAGGGATGGCTTACAAAGAAAAAGATGCTGTGTTAGATCAAACTACAGCTATTTTCTGTACTCTTGGGTTTAATGGAGGAAGCACTTTTCCTCATCCTGTCATGCTTACTTTGCAGGAGACTGCAGATGCATACAACCTGATTTTCCACTCCTCTGTAAGAATGCTACGGTGTGGGAAAACAATTTGGAGAAAATTGCCATAGAGATTTAAAAAAAATTCGAATCATACATTTTGTTTCTATGAAAATGATGTGAGTAAACACATCTTATACTCATGATATTTGAGCTACTGCTATAACCAACATGGTTTCAAAAATATTCCATTATTACTGCGGTATAGTCTTAACTACAAAATGCTGCATGTTGCTATGCAAAAGAACATGATGTGGCAATTTCTGCTCAGAAACCATTTCACAAATATCTAGTTTGGGGGTTTAAAAAACTAGAGAAAAATTAAAAAGTCATAATCTGGAAAGTAAGTTAATTCAATGTTTCTCAGATTACTCAATGAATAACTATTGGATAAAAATTCTTCTATTAAACAGTGTTAAACACACAGCTTATCATTTAACTTTTAATGATATTTATGAATGCCTTAAACGTCTCTAAAGGACAAATAAATATAGCTTAAGGAGACGACTTAGAGTAGTTTAGTCATCAACCATTAATGAAGTAATGGTTGAAGGCTCCTGGAAGGGACAAAAAAGACAGAATATGGATTTGAAAATATATTTCTTTCCAAAATAACTGAATATTTGATAAAAATAAAAAGGCATATTTCATATGAAAGATTATGTATCCCCCACTTAGAAAGAAAATGTGAACCTATTGTGGCATTTTTATCCACAGCCAAACAGAGCAAATTTCATTACTCTCTGATTTTGTCAATATTCATTCTTTATATTAAATCACTCACTTAGAATGCAGGAGAAAGTTCCATGGAAAGAAATTCTACAATTTCTCCTTTCAGCAAAGTCTTCATACTTAGAAAACTATCCATGATCTTATACCCACATAGAGAGCCAAAAATAAGGATGTGAGAGTTTTTCTAATGCAGCTCTGTCACAAATTCCAAATGAAATATTTTAAAGGCCTTTGGTCTGATAACGGGACAATTACGTTCCTTCTCCCTACAAAGCTAGCAGTGAAAGAAGTTCATTTTATTTAAAGAAAATCAGTTGGAGCTCCAAAGTGGAGAAAAGTTAGAAAAATAAATTTAATATTTATTTTACTCTACACATGTATTGGTGAAAAATAAGATAAATAAAAGTATTATTAAACAGTTTAGTAATCAGTCATTATATTTTTTCAAAGTTCTGCATCTTAATTGTCCTTAAATTATATAGTAAATAGCCCCAATCTTCCACTAAAATAAAGCAATGTTAATAATGACATAAATCATAGCATAAAAAATCACATGTGTTCCACAAAGAGCAAAAACAATTCTCTTTTATCAACGAAAGAGGGTCTCTCTGATCAAAATTTATGCTAAGACAGACATGAAATCTTCAAAAGTATACAACACCAAAAGTATTGTGTGACTTGTTATTTAATATTTAATATTCTGTTGCAAATAACGTCACACAGGTATGACACAACTTAAAATATGCATTGAATTGCATTTGTATTCAGGTTATATGCAAATGGAGATACAACACTTTAAGCTGCTTGGTAGGCGTCGTTCACATCTGTTCTTTGCCTAGCTGCCTCGCTTTCTCCTCTCTAACAGAATAATAGGACTGAAAGTTACAAACAACCTTAGAGGTCAGCTATCCAACTTGTCTTGAAAAGCCAGAGTCACTCCAAGTATCCCTGGAAGGTAATTGCCTAACCTTTGCTTGAATGAGTTCACAAATAAGTTGAAAAGGGATAACGGCCATAGAAGCAAGGAATTTTTTTATATCAATTATTTCACAAGACTCATGTGGTGAAAACCATATAAATGATGTTCCTTGTGATTATGACTTTGCACATTTATAAATCCTAGAATGTGCATAATCTTCTAGATTAGTTTTATAAAAATTCAAAAAGCCCATCAAAGATGGACTTACCATACAACTCTCTGCTAAAATGAAGATAAATGCTGATAGGAAATTCAAAAATTGTCATGTTATGCTTAAGCATCATTTTACTTTATACTCAGCCTTATAGTTACTGTGCTATCTAATTAACTGCAATACGAATCTCATAGGTAACTAGAATGTATAGTAATTTGAGAATCATTAAGGAAGCTACATTTATATTTATTTAAAAACAAAACAGTATTTTCATAGTTCAGTAAAAATTATCAGTATTTGGCCGGGCACGGTGGCTCATGCCTGTAATCCCAGCACTTTGGGAAGCCGAGGCAGGTGGATCCTGAGGTCAGCAGTTCAAGACCAGCCTGACCAATATGGTGAAACCCCGTCTCTACTAAAAATACAAAAATTAGCCTGGTGCAGTGGCAGGTGCCTGTAATCCCAGCTACTCGGGAGGCTGAGGCAGGAGAATCGCCTGAACCTGGGCGGCAGAGGTTGCAGTGAGCTGAGATTGTGCCACTGCACTGCAGCCTGGGTGACAGAGTAAGACTCTGTCTCAAAAAAAAAAAATCAGTATTTGTCATCTGTCATGACATATAGGTGATCTATGAAGGGAGATAAATAAATAGAATAGAAGCTAAGTAGAGTAAGTAGAGAAACAAAAATAGATGGAAGGAAAAGAGAAAGTTTGTAAGGAGTAAATGAAACCATGCCATTGGAGGCTAGTCACATTATAACAATTACCAATATTTACAGTGACCATATGTCCCTATTTTCCTGGGACAGTCCTCAGTTATGCCTCTTATTCTGAAGGCATCCCTCTTTCACTCTCAAAAGTGTTTGGTTTAGATGATAAATATTATGGTTAACTACCTAGATAAATTTCAAAAATTGATTCAATTGTTTTACAGGCTACCTATTTATTTGTTTATTTTTACTTTTTAAATTTTTATTGAGGTGTGATTGACAAATTATTTATAGTTAACATGTACAACATGATGTTTTGTTTACCGTGTTTAATGATTCCCATAATCAAGCTAACTAACATATCTAGCCCTTAACATAATTACTATTTGTGTGTGTGTGTGTGTGTGTGTGCGCGCGCGTGTGGTGAAAACACTTAAGATCTATTCCTTAAGCAAATTTCAAGTTTAAGTTATAAAATGAATAAGTTCCAGAAATCCAATGTGCAGCATAGTAACTATAGTTAATAACATATATTGTATACTTAAAATTGGCTAAGGCAGTAAATCTAGGGGCTATGTATTTAAAATATCCATTATTCTATATGAGTATGCTTAATAACAGTATTTTTTCTTTTTAAAATCAACGTTATTGAAGTATAGTCTATATTCAACAAGAAAAACATACACTTTAAGTGCACAATTCACTGGTTTTAAAAACTGTATACGCCCATGTAACTACCATTCCAAATCAATTATAGGATATTTGTATTGCCCCAAAAAATTCCTTATGCTGCTTTGCAGTAAATTCCCATCCCCACCTCCACTACCAATCCTAGAAAACTAGTGCTTTCTGTGACTATAGGTTAGATTTGTCACATCTAGAGTTTCATACTGGTGGAATCATACTTTATATTCTATTTTGTGTCTGGCTTCTTTTGTTCATAATAATGTTTTAGAGATCCATGTATGTGGTCGTGCATATTAATAGTTTTTTCTTTGTCCTCACTGGTATTCCATTGTATGGACAGATGTGTTACAGTTCGTTTAACCATTCATGCATTGAAAAACAACTGGTCTATTTCCAAGTTTTGTCTATTAAAAATAGAATTAGTTTGAACATTTATGTGTAAGTATTTGTGTAGAAAAACATTTTTGTTTCTTTTCGGTGAAAATCTAGGAGTGAAATAGATAATATAGTAAGTGTATTACTAACTTCATATGAAACTACTGTATGAAATTGTTTTCCAAAGTAGTTGTACCATTTTACAATACTGCCAGCTATATATGAGAGTTTACTTGTTCAACATCCTTGCCTACAATTTAACTTTAGCTCATCTAGTGGCTATGTAGTGCTGGCTTTACTTTGCATTTCTCTGATAGCTAATGAAGTTGAACATCTTTTCATATGTATTCTTTTGCGAAGTATCTGTTCAAGCCTTTTTAAAATTTGATTAACAGTATCTGAATTAATGATTAGAGAAGTTATTGAAAACTGTGTTTTAGAGTCCCTAATAGTCACACTATGACTTTAATACATAACATGCAAATTCCAATGAAATGAGTCCAAACTATAAGTTTATGGAAATATAAAAGCATGCGAGAATTTCCAAATCTACACAGTAAATGAAGTGATCTCAGCAGTGATTCTATTTTATCAACAGTCTCAGAGATTGTGTCCAGTGCAGTGTCTTGTACCCAGTGTTCAATAAATGTCTGTGTATTTATTAATTAATGATCTTATATCATTTTAGATTACTACATCTTGGCAGTTAATTTGTGGGAAATGTATTAATTAAAAAATATTTTTAAAAATAATTGATTTTTTTCCTCTTGAAACCACACATTTTTGCTACTGAAAAATCTGCTTATCATGTTAGTGAAGTATCCAATTTCTTTACTTCTTTCACCTTCCTCTTATTTAAGCTGACTCACTTCTCACAACAGAGAAGGCATATAAGTAAGAGAAAGTAAAATTATAAACATTGCATTTCTTGTTTCTTAGTAGCTTGGGTAAAAAAGATGTGTTTAGATGTGTTTGAAGAAAGGTAAAGTTATTAGAAGAATGAGCTTTTTACATTAAATATGTTTCATTATCCTTGTTCCCCTTACTTTCAATCAGCAACTATGCCTATATTATGTTTTTAAGAATACATTCTGCAAATAAGCCTAACCGTTATCTGCATCTGTTTCAGCTGAAACACTATGCAGATGCAATTGGTGAGATCTAAAACTAGGCTCAGATACTTAGAAAAATCTCAAGCATTTTGGATAGTTTTCAAAAGATTTGAAACATTTATTTTGAGACCTCACTATACTTGATTCCAAAGGGAAAGATACTTATTTCTATTTGGCATCTACAAATCAGACAGAATCTTTTTATTTTGTAGTTTTGCTATTTTTAGTACTATACTGCAAGTTACTGATTTTAATTTGTTCAGCTTGTACTTGAAATTCATAAACTCTGTTCTGTCAGACAACATAGAAAAAAATCTTAGTTTAGTGCAAAATAAACTTAGGATTAAAAGTGAGTTTGTATATGCAGAATATCATGTTCTTTCTTACATTTCTAAATAAAACATTTAAAACATGTATATTCCAAATAATGGAAAATTATATTAATTCTAGTCATACACCCAAATTATAAAGAATTAAGTGTAACATTTCTTGCCATCTTTATAGAGTCAGAAAGAATATATCAGCACTACCATAATTCAAGAAAACACTGTTTTGCATTTGATTCAATTAATAAAAGATGAATATATAAAAATTGACAACATAATTTAACCTTTTGAATCTAGCCCATTTTATATGTGTTTATTTGAGGACCCTCAATATACAATGGCATCCTTCATTATACAACAGCATCCTTCACTACAAAGTTCTATCTACTATAACAAGAAAGTGTCCTGTTGAATAAAACAGCTCTTTATCCCTTTGCTTAAGAAGATATAAAGTTAAAAATACAATGTATTTACTACTAAAGCAGGGTCATCCAATACACTCAGTATTTTACAATGGAAAAAGCTGTAGATGATCATACAGGGAGCTGATGCTCTCAAAATGAGAACCAAGAATTGCTGAGATTTCCAATTATACCTTCAGCTTCTCAAGGCTCCCTCTCTAGAACACCATTAAGGAAGCATATTCTTCTTTCTTTAATGCTACTTGCTCTTACCTCTTCTTCTCCTGATTAGGCATAGGGATGATTGAGCCTTCGTTGAATTAGCTAACCCACTATAGAGAGCAATAAGAAGCCCCAAAATTCTGGATACACAGGTGTGCAGAACAGGCTATATTTGGGTTTGTTACCTAACCAGACTGATATTCCATGAATAATTTCTACTATAGAACAGGCAAGTCCAATTATATGAAGGAAAAAATTTGCCCATAACTTCTATTTGATACAGATGAATATAGCTTGTGACCTAAAACAAATGAATGCTTATCTCCCATGTAATGAGATATATTTTAACATTTATTCAGTGTCCAGCATATATAAGGCCTCTTGTTGGGTCTAAGGGTAAGAAAAGATGAAAATGTGAAGATGTGATCTTTGTTCTGAAGGTGTTTTTAAGCCCGTAAAATTCATATAAGTTGCAAAACAAAGTTTGAAAGATAAAACAAGTGAGATAAACTCAAAATGGTATAGAAACACAATAAAGTATCATAGCAATTGGACCTGGGGAGCTCCAGAAAGATAGAATTATGTTATGAAGAATAGGTCAAATTTTGACAGAGTGGGAAATTCATAGTCTAGTTTGCCTGGACTATGAGGTAAATGCTAAAGAAGCAGAAGCAGAATCTGGAATAGTAATTTTTAATTTTGGTGATAATCATTTTTTTCTTTTATGCATCATGCTTTCTGTGTCATATCTAAAAACACATTTATTTAACCCAAGGCTAAGGTAGTAAATACATTCCCTTTTGTTTCCTATTATTTGTTTTATAGGTTAAGGTTTTCCATTTTGGCCTGTGATCCATTTTGTATATACTATGAGAAATATATAGGACAAGGTTTAACTACTTATTTCTCTTATGGCAGTCCAATTGTTTCTGCTCCATTTTTGGATAAGACCATTCTTTCTTCATTTTCTCCACTGAACTGCCTTTGACAAAAACCAATTGATCATATATGTATAGGGATATTTCTGGGCTCCCTTTTTTATTTCATTGATCTATTAGTTTATCTTTTTACCAGTACCACACTGGCTTAATTATTGAAGCTTCATACTATCTTAAAATCAAGTAGTCTAAACTCTCTATTTTTTTTTTCAAAATTACTTTAGTCACCCTTCTTGAAACTCAGTAATAATTCTATGGTCAAATATCTTGCAATGCGATGTGTAGAAGTCATGATTTGTCAAGCTCTACAGCTGCTGACATACTTAACTAGTCCACAAATAGCATTTTTAGGGTCCTTCAGGATTTCTGGTGGACAGGATTCAGGTCACTGAGAATATATGTGTGACAGATTTTTAGAAAGTTCTCAATGAGGTTTATTATAGAAGAGAAAAACTAATTCAACCAGAAGAAAATATTTTCTTAAAATCAATTATTTGGGCTTTTTAAAAAGTTTCAGGAAAATCATTTATGTGAACTGTATTTTTTTTTAACTTTTATTTTAGATTCAGGGATATGTATGTAGATTTGTTATATGGATAAATTTCATGTCACAGGGGTTTGATTTACAAATAATTTTGTCATCTAGGAAATAGGCATAGTACCTAATAGGTAGTCATTCAAGGATACAATGGGGGTAGAGGCATTGGGTAAATGATTCCACTCTATAAGGGAGAAATTGGCCAAAACAAAGGGGCTACAGGCCCCATGCATGTCCAAAACCAAGCAGGGTAGTCATTAAATTGTGAAGCTCCAAAATAATGCCCTTTGACTCTATGTTCCCAAGCTAGGCCACACTGATGCAAGGGGTGGGCTCCCAAGACCTTGTGCAGCTCCACCCTCATGCAGAGGCACAGGGGCAGAGCTGCACAAGGCCTTGGGAGCCGACCCCTTGCATTAGTGTGGCCTGGATGTGAAACGTAGTCAAACATGGAACACAGGGTAGAAGACACTGCACTGGGCATGAGCTCTGAGATTGTACTCTGCAGGGTACAGCCCCCAAAGCTGTACCTTGCTTTCATGGGTCAGCATTGAGTGCCTGCAGCTTTTCCAGGTGCACACTGCAAGGTGTCAATGGAGCTACCATTCTGGGGTCTGGAGGATTGTGGCCTTCTTCTCACAGCTCCACTAAGCAATTACCAGGTGGGGACTCTGTGTGGAGACTCAAAACCGACATTTACCCTCGGTACTGTCCTGTTAGAGGTTCTCCATGAGGGTCCCTCCCCTGCAACAGACTTCTGCCTGGATATCCAGGCATTCCCATACATCCTCTAAACTGTAGGCTAAGGCTTCCATGGCTCATCTGTTAACATCTGTGCACCCGCAGGCTTAATACCACATTGAAGCTGCCAAGGCTTATGGCTTGTGCCCTCTGGAGCAGCAGCCTGAGACATATCTGGGGCCCTCTCAGCCATGGCTGGAGCTGGAGGGGCTAGGACAAAGGAAGAAGTGTCCCAAAGTTGCACAAGGTATCAGGGCCCTGAGCCCAGCCCTCAAAACCATTCTTCCCTCCTAGGCCTCCAGGGCTGTGATGGGAGGGGCTGCTGTGAAGGTCTCCAAAATGCGTTTCAGGCATTTTCTCCATCATCTTGGCTATTAACATTGGGCTCCTCTTTACTTATGCAAATTTCTGCAGCCGGCTTGAATTCCTCCCCAGAAAAAGGTTTTTTAAAAATCTTTTCTGTCATATGGTCAGGCTGCAAATTTTCTAAACTTTTATATTCTGCTTTCCTTTTAAATATAAGTTGTGGTTTCAGGTCATATCTTTGCTCAAACATATGACCATACATTGTTAGAAGCAGCCAGGATAAATCCTTTCTTTGTTTTGAGACGGAGTCTCACTCTATCACCAGGCTGGAGTGCAGTGGTGAGATCTCAGCTCACTGCAGCATCCGCCTCCTGGGTTCAAACAATTCTCCTGTCTCAGCCTCCCGAGTAGCTGGGATTCCAGGCACGTGCCACCATGCTTAGCTAATTTTTGTATTTTCAGTAGAGATGAGGTTTCACCATGTAGGCCAGGCTGGTCTCGAACTCCTGACCTCAGGTGATCCACTCACCTCAGCCTCCCAAAGTGCTGGAATTACAGGCATGAGCCACTGCAACCGGCTGCCAGGCCAAATCTTGAATGTTTTGCTGCTTAGAAATTTCTTCCACTGGATACCCTAAATCATTACTCTCAGACTCAAACTTCCACAGATCTCTAGGGCAGGGGCACAATGCCTCCAACCTCTTTGCTAACACATAACAAGAGTGATCTTTACTCCAGTGTCCAATAAGTTCCTCATCTCCATCTGAGATCTCCTCAGCCTGGACTTCGTTGTCTATATCACTGTCAGCAACCATACAACAAGTCTTTATAATGTTCTAAACATTCCTTCATCTTTCTTTCTTCTTCTGGGCCATCCAAAGTGTTCCAAACTCTGTCCATTACCCACTTTCAAAGCTGCTTCCATGTGTTCAGGCATCTTTATAACAGTATCCCACTCCTTGTACCAATTTTCCTTATTAGTCTCTTCTCCTATTGCTATAAACAGCTACCTTAGACTGGGTAATTTATAAAGAAAAGAGGTTTAATTGGCTCGTGGTTCCACAGGCTCTACAGGAAGCATGGCTGTGGAGGCCTCAGAAAAGTTACAATCATGGCAGAAGGTGAAGGCGAAGCAGGCACATCCTACATGGTTGGAGCAGGAGGAAGAGAGTGAAATGGGAGGTGCTACACACTTTTAAACAACCAGATCTCATGAGAACTAACTATCACAAGAACTGCAAGGGGGAAATCTGCCCCCCTGATCCCAGCACCTCCCACCAGGTTCCTTCTCCATTAGGAATTACTATTTGACATGAAATTTGGGTGAGGACACAAATCCAAACCATATCAGGCACATGCAGCCAGGTGGCTAAGCACAAGATGTCAGCATCCAAGCAGGGTGAGAGCAGCGTGGTGGTCAGCCTGGTGTGGGATATTCAGGACTATGCAGGATGAGGAGGATCTCCACATGGAGATATGAGTTGGGGCACAATCTCAGACTTGAGCATGACAATGAGGTTATATGTGCAGAGGAGTGGCTGAAGTTAAAGTCAGGAGATTAATTACATACAGGGGGACTGATCAAATGAGTAAATATACGAAGCATAATGTAAGCTAGGTTTTCCACTATCAGAATAAAAAGGAAATTCAAGTATGATAAAGTATAAAACTAGAATAAACCCAGTAGTATAGACTGGAATTTGAGATACAGTATGAGCTCATGGTTTTCGAAATATAGAGCTATGAAAAGAAATACTACCATAAACTTTGGTTTGTTTTTGCGTATGCACTAATACATACATACCCTAGCTTATTTACTGAGAGGACAGGCTTTGGAGCAGCAACATCATAATCTCAAAGAGCAAATATAGTGCTCAGATCCTGACTTATAAATACTACTTTGTAATAAAAGGAACCAGAACTGGTTAAAGACATGACTGATTCCAGGGCTGAAGAAGAAAAATATATGATTTTGATAGTTGTATTGTAGTTATATCAAGAATGTCCTTGTTCATAAGTAATAGACGTTAAACTGGTATTAGAAAGGTGATGAAAATCATGTTGTTAACCTACTTTCAAATGCTTTGGCATAAACTATTCCCTGAACCATACTTATAACTTTTTCTATAAATTTGTGAATTTCTTCAAATTTTTAAAAAGTGTATATCATTAAAAAATAATTTTTGCAAATTAAGATGAAGAGATACGCACCTCAATCAATAGTTTATCTACCGCAATTCTTAAGTAAACATAGCTCTCATCATTTATCCACCGCAATTCTTAAGTAAAAGTAGCTCTCATCATTTAGCTTTCACTTATAAGTGAGAACATGTGGTATTTGGTTTCCTGTTCTTGAAAATTTTTGGAAGAAAATTGTACATGATGGAATTTTATTTTATTACTAAGAAATTGAATAACTGGCACTTTTTTTCTATTTTATTATTTGCTTCCTTTCGTTAGTTTTGTTCTTTATACCACATATGCAGTTAAATAAACATTCTTAAAGGTCTACATTTCAAATCTATTCTTTTTTATTTCTGAAAAAGTTACTTACTGAAGAGGTATTTTTATACACAAAGTTGATTAATAAGTTGAAATAATTGTTCTGGCATTAAAAATCATTACAATATATTTCTTTCGATGATTTCTGTGTACTTTCAAGTACCGAACAAAATTCATGAAAGCGCGTGCACACACCCACACACGCACATGCAGATGGTAGTAAAAGCAGTAAAAATGGTAAGCCCAGGCTTGAAACCACTGTTAGTTATGAGAGTAAGTATATTCTATTACTGTAATTTAACAGGTCTGTATTAACTAACTCCATAATATTCAAATTCTTCAATTTCTTTTCTAGATAACCCAGAACATAATGGAAATTTTTCTTATGTAGTAACATGGTGAAAATTACAACATTAGCTGGTTTGTGAACATAAGGAGGTTTATGAAATAAAAAAGTCTAGTAAATTTCTGTAGCTAGCAAACACTCTAAACTGTGAAAGAAAATGGAATCTCAGGGCCTCTAATTCACTATGCAAAAGGAAGTGAAGCTTAGGAACTGAGTCACACAGTATTTGTTTCCTTTTGTTTTCAACTGTATAGCTGTAATTTCAAAACCTTCATCCATAAGCCAGGTTCTCACAATGATGGAAGGCCATATATCTCCTTGGATGGCCTCGCTCACAAATTTCTGACAGTGGAATTCCTTGTGAGCCCCTAAGTCTATCAGGATATATATCTCCCCTATAAAGTAGCCCTAAAACCAAGCTCCATTGAATCTCTCCCCGACAATATTAATAACCAGCTTATCCTCACAGGTACAGGACAAGGACAAGACCAGAAATCATCCCTCTGCATATTCTGAGACTAATGCACAGTTAGTTGGCTTTTTCTCTAATTTCTCCTTTCATATTTATTTTATGTAAAATTGAGATTTACCAATTGGGACAGGGATGCATAACTGACTTTTTCTTCTCTACTCTCTTTTTATATGTAAAATGTAGATTTACTGAGCACTAATTGGAGGCACAAAAGAACGTAACCATTTGCAAAGGACACGATGTTGTTTTCTATGGCTGCATAGTATTTTATGGTGCATATGTACCACATTTTCTTTAGATTGAGACTATTATCCTTAGCAAATTCAGGAGGAACGGAAAAACAAATGCCACATGTTCTCACTTGTAAGTGGGAGCTAAATGATGAGAACATAAGAACACGTAGAGGGGAACAACACACACTGGGGTCTTTTGGAAGGTGGAGTGTGGGAGGAGGGAGAGGATCATGAAAAATAACTAATGGGTACTAGGCTGAATACCTGGGTGATGAAATAACCTGTAACACAAACCCCCGTAACATGAGTTTACCTGTGTAACAAACCTGCACATATACCCCTGAAGTTAAAATACAAGTTTTCCCTTACTGCCTACACTCTCTTCCTTTCTTTCCTCCTGTTTGCTCTTGCCTCTTTAAATATTGAAATTCCCAAAACCCTCTTTGGAAAAAAGCACAGGACACAGACACTCCTGTCCCTTCTGTTTTGCTGGGCACATCCTGAAACTTCGGGTACATAAAACTCTACCAATTGAGGCACCAGTCTCAGTCACTTTTTGGTTAATAAAATCTAACTGACATTTTCTTCTTCTTACTGAAATAACACCTGTAAGCCTCCACATTTGGAAATGAAGAACTGTCATTCTAATTTGTGTTCAGAACATGCAAGCTAGAGCTTTTTTAAAAGATTAACTTATACTATTATATCATGGAGCATATACAGAGAATATTGTAAACCTTTAATTAAAATATATATATTTTTAGATAGAGTCTTTCTCTGTCCCCCAGGCTGGAGTGCATTGATACCATCTCGGCTCACTGCAACCTCTGCCTCCTGGGTTCAAGCAATTCTCCTGCCTCAGCCTGAGTAGCTGGGATTACAGGCGTGCACCACCACGCTCGGCTAATTTTTGCATTTTTGGTACAGGCGGGGTTTCACCATGCTTGCCAGGCATGTCTCGAACTCCTGACCTCATGATCCATCCACCTCTGCCTCCCAAAGTGCTGGGATTACAGGCATGAGCCATCACTCCTGGCCTAATTAAAATATCTTAACAGAAAGTATTAAATATGTTTAAAAACAGAAGCAGAAAATTCATGAATCAGAGTGTAGAGGATAGGGTCTGTAAATAGTTATGACAAAGCAAGTAGAAAGAATCAACATAATTTTTTTAAAAATTGAAAACATAAAATTACCATTACAAACAAAAGTTTTGCCAATAACTAGAAGATTAAAATTCGCTTTTCTAAGCATCATTGTGCCCTGTGTGAGCTAAATACGAAATCTTTCCATTTTCAAGAGAGTACTTAGATTCAGAGTTCTGTTGGAACTATTCTTGGCTACGTTGAAATGAATTGACTATCTCATTAGGACCATGCAAACCTAATAACAACAATTAAAGTTGAAAGAATGTATCAACTTGTCTTAAGATTCACTTATTTGTTAACTATTCAATGGCCCAGAATGTACATTCTTTTGGGAAACAAATTTTGTGCTTTTCTTTAATGTGTCAAGCCCTGTGTTTGGAAGTTTACATGCAATATCAGATTCACTTTTCACAATAACCTTGTGAGAGAAGAATTACTACTTCTATTTCGTATCTGTGTAATTGAGGGGTTAGATAACTCACGATCTTATAGTAAAGGAGAATCCTAGGACTGGCTGGCACTGAATGCTATATACTCTTTTCATTAGACTCCTTGTACAGATAGATGCAATGCAGTTAGGATGAAAGTTATTTTGTACTAATCATAAACTTCTAATGGAACAGTAGTTTGGTAAAACCATTTCTAGCAATTACAAAATGACAATTTTATCAAGAAGTGCAGAATAAGGATTGAAGTGGCAATGTTAAATGAAAACAACAACAAAAAAATCTCTGTTCTTCAAATAATACTTGCAAATGACCATTCCCAAGCTCCTAGCACAGTGCATCTGGTGCACAGCGGGCACTCAATACTTATTTTCTTTTCTTCTTTTTCAAATTAGGATATAAATTTAAATAGCATTCTGTGCTTTGTAAATCATAACACTTCTTTGAGAATGAAAAAATGTATTCTAATTCACTGATTTCAATAGATCTTAATTTTGTACACTTACTCTATTCTTTGGGCTCTTTTAAGATTCTGAGCTCTATTATAAAAAATTGTCAAATGACTTGAGACTAGGTGAATGATAAGGTGTAAGAGAGGGTGTAAGAAGACAAAAGGAAAAGGAAACTGTAATACCGTGATTTCAGGTTTCAGAAATAGAGAATATAATTATAAATTATTCAAACAAAGAAAAAATACATAATTATAAAGTATTCAAGAAATAAAATTTTACAAAACAACATCAAAAAGATATGTATATGTTAAATGTTAAAAACTTTTTAATGATAATCTGTAGTTTAATAATACATGCAGAGGGAGGACAAAATGGCCAGCTAGACACAGCCAGGAAGCACCACTCTCATCAAGAGAGGCCAAGAATTATAGTAAACCTACATAATTTAGATACATCTTTAGAGAGAAAATGTTAAGTGGATAGTAATGTGACACAGATGATAAGGCTGAGGAAGGAGGAGGCTAGGAACCATTTGCAGGGTACCAGAACACTGCGGCTAGCTCCTGGCCCTGAACACCTCCTGGGAAATGTGTGAGCGAAGGAACTGTGGTATCCTGTTTACAAAGGGGCCCACATCTGCCATTAATGTTTGAGCTTACAGGGGGATCTGCTTGGAGAGTAGCAGAGGCAGGGCTTCAGTCAGCACAGAGCCAGAGGTCTTTGTCCACTGTGCAGGCTGCAGCAGAGTGTGGCTATAGCACCTGTCCCCCAGGTTTTCCCATCTCTGTCCAAGAAGCTCTAGCCCCAGCTGACCCTGAACCAGGAGAAAGCAGGGCCAACTTTGCTGCAGGACTGGGGCATGTCTGCACTGCATATTCTCCTGCTTGCCAGCCTTTCCCAGTGCCCCTGCCTGGCCACCCCACAGGAATGTGTGGATAGTGTGGCTTCCACTGCCCAGCCTGGGTGCTGTGCTTCACCCAATTATCTTCCCTGTAGCCTGGGAACACTTTGGATTCCCCAGCACACCTGGTACCTGACTCTGTTGGTACAGAGGATAGAGCTGAGAGCCAGTCCTGGCACCCTAGGGTTGCAGTGAGCAGCTCAGGAGAGCTGAGCCAAGATCTGTGGCTGGCACTTGAATGGGAGAGGAGCCCACACTCACAGAGCACTGAGAGGGTGAGATGCATGTGTTCATGGACTGGAGCAGGAGTGGGGCATGCCTCCCTCTGCAGGGTCACCCCAGAAAGGATGTGGCCAATCTCCCTGTCATGACCTCTGCCCAGGGAGCCTTGCAGCCCAGAACCAAACAAAAAAAAATGTGGAGGCAGTGTCAGCAACAGTATGGGGCACCCTCAAGGCCCAGGAGCAGGCTTGATGAAGGAGTCACCTTTCCCCACTGCACCACAGAGCATGTCTTGCAAATGCAATGAATATCAAGAAGCTATGCAGCTAAGTTTATATAGTGCCCATTACTCTTAAGTGCCATCTGCTGGACCACAGCCCAAACTACAAAACCAAAATATTATGCTAATCACTGCCCTGTGAAACCTAGAACAAGAATTCTGCCAAAAATCAAGACCCTGTACAGATTCTTGGCCCTCCAAAAAATCCAAAAATGAAGCCAACTTACTATAGACAATTTACACCACACTTGAAAGAACACTAACCCTTCCACATGAGAGTCAGTGCAAGAACTCTCACAATTTAAATAGCCAAAGTGTTCTCTTACCTGCAAACAAGTCCACTAGTTCCACAGCAATGGTTCATAACCAGTTCGAAATAACTGAAATGATAGACATATAATTCAGAATCTTGATTGCAAAAAAGCTCAACAAGATTCAGGAAGAAGTTGAAACCCAATCCAAGAAATTCAGTAAAATCATACAAGAGCTGAAAGATGAAATAGCCATTTTAAGAAAGAACCAAACTAAACTGCTAGAGCTGAAATTCACTACAAGGATTTTATAACACAATCAGAAGTATTAACAGCAGAATAAATGAGGCTGAGGAAAGAATCTGAAAGCTTGAAGCATGGTTCTTTTAATTAATTAAATTTTTAAAAAAGAATTGTAAAAGATGAACAAAACTTTTGAGAAATATGGGATTATTTAAAGAGACAAAATCTGACTCATTGATATTCCTAAGAAAGAAGGAGAGAGAATAAGTAAATTGGAAATTATACTTGAGGATATAGTTCACAAAATTGTTTCTAATTTCACTAGAGAGATTGACATGCAAATTCAAGAAACACAGAGAACCCAAGCTAGATACTAACCATAACACTATCCTCAAGGCACATAGTCATCAGATTCACCAAGGTCAATACACACATAAAAATCTTACAGTCAGCTAGAAATAAGGGTCAAGTCACATACAGAGGGAACCCCATAAGGCAAGCAGCAGACCTTCCATAAAAAAATCTTAAAAACTAAGAGACATTGTGGGACTATTTTCAGCATCCTTAAAGAAGATAAATTGCAACCAAGAATTTCATTTCCCACAAAAATGAGCTTCATAAGTGAAGGAGAAATGTAATCCTTCTCAGACAAGCAAACACTGAGGGAATTATTTCAACTAGACAAGCCTTACAAGAGGTCCTGAGGAAATGCTATATATGGAATTGAAATAACAACACCCACTACCACAAAAACACACCTAAGGGTATAGCCCATAGTCACTCTAAAGCAACTACACAGTCAAGTCTACACAACAAGCAACTAAGAGCACAATGACAGAATCAAAATTACACATCAATGCTAACCATGAATGTAAATGGACTAAACACCCCACTTAAAAGACACAAAGTGGCAAGCTGGATAAAAAGACAAGGCTCAACCATCTTTTGCCTTCAAGAGACCCATCTCACATGTTATAGCACACACAGCCTCAATGTAAAGGGATGGAAGAAAGATCTACTATACAAATGGAAAATAAGAGCAAGAGTAATTATTTTTATATCAGATAAAATACTTCAAGCCAATAAAATTAAGAACAGAAAAGGGCATTACAAAATGATAAAGGGCGAAATCAAACAGAAGACTTAAGTATCCTAAATATATACACATCCAAGTGAAAAGACTTAGACAACCACACAATAATAGTGGGAGACTTCAACACCCCACTAACAGGATTTGAGAGACCATTGAGGTAGAAAATTCACAAAGAAACTTGGGGCTTAAACTTGATCCTGACCAACTGGACATAATAGACATCACCAGAACACTCCATCTGACAGCCACAGAAAATATCTTCTTCTTATCTGCACATGGACCATATTGTAAAAGAAACTACATGCATAGTCATAAAGCAAGTCTCTATAAATTCAAAAACTTAAAATCATATCAAGCCCACCTGCAGAGCACAGTACAATAAAAATAAAAATTCATATAAAGAAGTTATCTCAAAACCACACAAATACATGGAAACTAAACAACTTGCTCCAGAATAACTCCTGGGTAAACATGAAATTTAAGGTAAAAATAAAAAAAATTCTTTGAAATTAATGAAAATAGGAACAAAATGTGCCAAAACCTCTGGGATGCAGCTAAAGCAGTGTTTAGAGGAAACTTTATAATGCTAAACACCAGCATCAAGAAGTTATAAATATCTCAAATTTACAGTCTAACATTTCACATAAAGGAACCAGAAAAAAAACCCCAAAGCTAGAATATGAAAGGAATAATTAAAATTAGAGAAGTTAATGAAATTGAGATGCAAAAATTCATAAAAAGATCAACCAAATGAAGAGCAGTTTCTTTAAAAATAATAAACAAAATTGATAGACTGCTAGTTAGACTAACAAAAAAATCAAAACAGAATATCCAAATAAGTACAATCAGAAAAGACAAAGATAACATTACACATGATCCCAGAGAAACACAATGACTCCTCAAAGACAATAATAAACAACATTGTATATACAAATTAGAAAGTCTAGAGGAAATGAAATTCCTGAAAATACACAATCTCCAAATATTGAAGCAAGAAGAGATTGAAACCTTGAATAGACCAATATTGATCTCTGAAATTAAACCAGTAATAAAAAATCTAGCAACCAATAAAACCCCTGGACCAGATGTATTCACAGCAGAATTCTACCAGACATACAAAGAACTGGTATGAATTCTACTGACACTACTCCAAAAAACAAACAAACAAACAAACAAAATCACAGAGGAGATGCTACTTCCTATCTTATTTTGTATGAAGCTAGCATCAGACAGATACCAAAATCTTGCAGAGACACAACAACAAAAAAATTACAGGCCAGTATCAATTACAAAGACAGATATTAAAGTCCTCCACAAAATACTAGAAAACCAAATCTAGCAGTATATTAAAAAGTTAATTCACCACAATCAAGTAAGCTTTATTCCTGGGATGCAAAGCTGGTTCAACATACACAAATCAATAAATGTGATTTGCTATATAAATAGAATTAAAAAGAAAAACTATATGATTATCTAAATGGGTTCTGAAAAAGCTTTTTATAAAATCCAACATCCCTTCATGAAGAAAACCCTCAACCAACTAGGCATCAAAGCAACATACCAGAAAAGAAGTACCATCTATGACAAATCTACAGCCAACATCATACTGAATGGGCAAAAGCTCAAACCATTTCCCTTGAGAACTGGAAAAAGACAAGGATACTCACTCTCATCACTCCTACCCAACATAGTTCAGGAAGTCCTAGCCAGAGCAATCAGGCAAGAGAAAGAAATAAAAAGCATCAAAATATGAAAGAAAGAAGTAAAACTACCTGTCCTCACTGATAATATGATTCTATATGTAGTCCTAAAGATTCTGCCAGAAGGCTCCTAGAAATGATAAGTGACTTTAGTGAAGTTTCAGGATACAAAATCATGTATAAAAATTAATAGCATTTCTATACATCACCAACATCCAAGCTGAAAACCAAAGCAAGAACAGAATCCCATTCACAGTAGCCCCCTATCATACACACACACACACATAAACACCTAGGGTTACAGCTAACCAGGAAGGAGAAAGATATCTACAGGGAGAATTACAAAACCCTGGTTAAAGACATCAGAGATGATACTAATGAATGGAAAATAATTTGATGCACATGAATTGGAAGAATCAATATTACCGAAGTGGTCATACTGCCCAAAGCAATTTTCAGATTCTATGCTATTCATATGAAACTCTCAAAGTCATTCTTCAGAGAATTAGAAAACATATTCTAAATTCACATGGAACAAAAAAAACCCCAGTAACCAAACAATCCTAAGCAAAAATAACAAAGCCAGAGACATCACACTACTAACTCCAAATTGTATTATGGGGTTACAGTAACCAAAACAGCAAGATACTGGGACAAAAAGAGACACATAGACCAATGGAACAGAATAGAACACTCAGAAGTAAAGCTTCACACTCAAAATCACCTGATTTTCAACAAGACCAATAGAAACAGGCAATGGGAATGGACTCCCTATTCAATAAGTAATCTTGGATAACTGCCAGCCACATGCAGAACAATACAATCAGAATCCTACTTTTTACCATATAGAAAAATTAACTCAGGATGAAGTAAATATTTAAATGTAAAACCTCAAACTATCAAAATCCTAGAAGAAAACCTAGGAAATACCCTTCCTGACATCAACTTTGGCAAATGATTTTTGGCTAAGTCCCCAAAATCAACTTCGACAAAAACAAAAATAGACAAGTGGGACCTAATTTAATGAAAGAGCTTCTTCATAGCAAAAGAAATAATCAACTGAGTAAACAGGCAACCTAAAGAATGAGAGAAATTATTCACAATCTATGCATATGACAAAGGTTTAATATCCAGAGTTTATAAGAAACTTAAACAAATCAACAAGCAAAAAATAATAATAATAAGCTCATTTAAAAAATGGGCATAGTATATTAACACTTCTCAAAAGAAGACATAGAAGTGGTGAAAAGCAATTGCAACAAAAGCAAAAATTAACAAGTAGGATCTCATTAAACTAAAGAGCTTCTGCAGAGCAAAGAAAACTATCAACAGAGTGAACAGACAATCTAGAGAACGGAAGAAAATTTTTTCAAACTATGCATCTGAGAAGGGTCTAATATCCAGCATCTTTAAGGAACTTAAACAAATTTACAAGAAAAAACAACCCCAATAAAAAGTGAACAAAGGATATTAACAGAAACTTTTCAAAAGAAGATATACATGCAGCCAACAATCATATGAAAAAAAGAGCTCAACATTACTGATCATTAGAGAAATGCAAATTAAAACCACAGTGAGACATCACCTCACACCAGTCAGAATGGCCATTACTAAAATGTCAAAAAATAACAGATGCTGGTAACGTTGTGGAGAAAAAGGAACACTTATATACTGTTGGCAGGAGTATAAATTAGTTCAACCATTGTGGAAGACAGTGTGGTGGTTCCTCAATGACCTGAAAACAGAAACACCATTTGACCCCGCAATCCCATTCCTGGGTATGTACCCAAAGGAATATAAATCATTCTATTGTAAAGACACATGCAAGCATATGTTCATTGCAACATCATTTGTAATAGCAAATATATGGAATTAAGCTGAATGTCCATTAATGGTAGACAGGATAAAGAAAATGTGGTAGATATACACCATGGGATACTATGCAGCTATATATATATATATATACTCATCAGAAGAAATGCAAATCAAAACCACAATGAGATACCATCTCACACCAGTCAGTATGGCTATTATTAAAAGGTCAAAAAGCAACAGATGCCGGTGAGACTGCAGAGGAAAGAAACACTTAGATACTGTTGGGGAGAATGTAAACTAGTTCATCCCTTGTGTAAATCAGTTTGGAGTTTCTCAAAGAACTTAAAATGGAGCTCTTATTTATCCTAGCAATTTAATTGCTGAGTATATAAACAAAGGAAAAAAATCATTCTACAAAAAGGACATGCACACGTATGTTTATTACCATGCTATTCACAATAGCTAAGACAAGGAATCAACCTAGGTACTAATCAGTGGTGGATTGAATAAAGAAAATATGACGCCTATACATGGTGAAACACTATGCAGCCACAAAAAAGAACAAAATCATGTTCTCTGCAGCAATATGAATGCAGCCGGAGGCCATTATTCTAAGCTATTTAATGCAATAATGGAAAACCAAATGCCCCATGTTCTCACTTACAAGTTGGAGCTAATCATTGAGCACACATGGACATAAACATGGGAATAATAGACACTTTGGACTTCTAGAGAGGGGAGGGAGGGATGTGTGGCTGCAGATCTATCTATTGGGTATGTTTTTCACTACCTGGATGACAAGATACATACCCCAAAACTTAGCATCATGCAATATACCTATGTAACAAACCAGCACACCTATCCCTTGTATATAAAATAGAAGATGAAGCACTGCTATACACCAACAATAACCAAGCTGAGAATCAGACCAATAACTCAATCCCTTTAACAACAGCTCAAAAAAACAAATACTCAGGAAAGTACTTAACCAAGCAGGTGAAACATCTCTATAGGAAAACTACAAAACATTGCTGTAAGAAATTATATATGACACAAATAAATGGAAACGCCTCTCATGCTCATGGATAGGTAGAATCAATACCATGAAAATGATCACACTGCCCAAAGCAGTCTACAGATTCAATGTAATTCTCATCAAAACATCATCATTATCATTCACAGAATTAGAAAAAAATCCTAAAATTCATATGGAACCAAAAAGACCCCACATATCACAAGTGAGACTAAGCAAAAAGAACAAATCTGGAGGCATCACATTATCCAACTTCAAATTATACTACAAGGATATAGTTACCCAAATAGCATGGTACTGATATAAAAATAGGCATGTAGACCAATGGAACAGAATAGAGAACTCAGAAATAAAGCCAAATACTTGCAGCCAACTAACCTTCGCTAAAGCATACAAAAACAAAAATTGAGTAAAGGACACCTTATTCAATAAATGGTGTTGGGAAAACTAGCAAGCCACATGTAGAAGGATGAAACCAGATGCTCATCTCTCACTTTATACAAAGATCAACTCAAGATGGATCAAAGACTTAAATCTAAGACTTGAAACCATAAAAATTATAGAAGATAACATCAAAAAAACTCTTCTAGACATTGGCTTAGGCAAGGAATTCATGAGTAAGACCCCAAAAGCAAATACAACAAAAACAAAAATAAATAGATGGTACCTAATTAAATTAAAAAGCTTCTGCACAGCAAAATAAAGAATCAGCAAACAGACAACCTACAGAGTAGGAGAAAATATTAGCTAACTATCCATTCAACAAAGACTAATATCTAGAATCTACAAGGAACACAAACAAATCACAAAACACAATCAGAAATGACAAAGAGGACACTATACCAGTCTCCACGGAAATACAAAAGAAAAAACCCTCAGAGACTATTACAAACACCTCTACACACAGAAACTAAAAAACCTAGAAGAAATGGATCAATTCCTGGAAACATATGACCCCCCAAGATTGAACCAGAAAGAAATTGAAACACTGAACAGACAAATAATGAATTTTGAAATTCAATAAGTAATAAAAAATCCTACAAACCAGGGAAAGTCCTGGACCAGACAGATTCACAACCTAACTCTACCAAACGTATAAAGACCTGGGACAATTCCAACTGAAAATGTTACAAAAAAATGAGGAGGAGAGATTCTTCCCTAATTTATTCTATGAGGCCAGGATCTTCCTGATACAAAAACTTGACAGAGACACAACAAAAATAATTTCAGGCCAATATCCTTGATGAACATAGATTCCAAAAATCCTCAACAAAATACTAGCAAACCAAATTCAGCAGCACATCTAAAAGTAAATCGACCATGATCAATAGGCACTATCCCTGGAATTCAAGGTTGGTTCAACATACACAAATCAATAAATGTCATTCCTCACATAAACAGAACTAAAAACAAAAGCCATGTGATCAACTCAATGCATGCAGAAAAGGCTTTCTATAACATTCAACATCTTTTTTTCATATTAAAAACACTCAACAAACTAGGCACTGAAAGAATATACCTGAAAATAATAAGAGCCATCTATACAATATCCACAGTCAACACCATACTGAATGGGCAAAAGTTCAATTCCCCTTGAGAACTAGAAAAAGACAAGGATGCGCACTCTCAACCATTCCTATTCAACATAGTACTAGAAGTCTTAGCCAGAGCAATCAGACAAGAGAAATAAATTAAAGGCATCCAATTAGGAAGAGAGGAAGTCAAACTATCTCTATTTGCATCCAATATGATTTTATATCCAGAAAACGCCAGAGTCTCTGCAAGTATCCTAGATCTGGTAGACAATTTCAGTAAGGTTTTAAGATACAAAATCATCGTACAAAAATCACTAACATTTTTACACACCAACAACATCCAGGCTGAGTGCCAAATCAAGAACACCATCTCATTCACAATGGCCATATTAAAAAAGATCTAGGAATACAACTAAATAGGGATCTGAAGGATCTCTACAATGAGAATTATAAAACACTGAAAGAAAGAAATCAGAGATGATACAAACAAATGAAAAAACATTCCATGCTCATGAATAGGAAGGATATATATTGTTAAAAGTCATCATGGCCAGGCACAGTGGCTCATGCCTGTAATCCCAGCACTTTGGGAGGCTGAGGTGGGTGGATCATGATGTCAGGAGATTGAGACCATCCTGGCTAACACGGTGAAACCCTGTCTCTACTAAAAATACAAAAAATTAGCCGGGTGTGGTGGCAGGCGCCTGTAGTCCCAGCTACTTGGGAGGCTGAGGCAGGAAAATGGCGTGAACCTGGGAGATAGAGCTTGCAGTGAGCCGAGATCACGCCACTACATTCCAGCCTGGGCAACAGAGCGAGACTCTGTCTCAAAAAAAAAAAAACAGACAAAGTGGTCATGCTGCCCAAAGCAATTTACAGATCTAATATTATTCCTATCAAACTACTAACATCATATTTCACAGAACTAGAAAAACTATTCTAAAATTCTATGGAACCAAAAAGTAGCCCAAAGTGTTAAAGCAATCCTAAGAAAAAAATAAAAATGCTGGAGGCAGTACATTACCCAACTTCACACCATACTATAAGACTACGGTAGCAAAAATAACAAGGTAATGGTACAAAAACAGAAACATACATCAACAGAACAGGTAAGAGAACTGAGAAATAAAGCTGCATACCTACATGCATCTGATCTTTGACAAAACTGACAAAAATAAGCAATGGGAAAAGGGTTTCCTATTCAATAAATGATGCTGGGACAACTGACCAGCAATATGCAGAAAATTAAAACTGGACCCCTTCCTTAGACCATATACAAAAAATCAACTCAAGATGGATTAAAGACTTAAATGTAAAACCTCAAACTATAAAAGCCTAGAAGAAAACCTAAGAAACACAACTCTGGACATAGGCCCTGGCAAAGATTTCATGACAAATATGCCAAAAGCAATTGCAACAAAAACAAAAATTGACAAATGGGATCTAATTAAACAAAAGAGCTTCTGCACAGCAAAATAAACTATGAACAGAGTAAACAGACAACCTACAGAATGGGAGAAAATACTTGCAAACTATTCTTCTGACAAAGGTTTAATATCCAGAATCTATAAGGAACCTAAATGAACAAGCAAAAGACAAATAGGCCCATTAAAAAGTGGACAAAAGACATAAATAGACACTTTTCAAAAGAAGACATAGATGCAGCCAGCAAGCACTTGAAAAATGCTGAACATAACTAATCATTAGAGAAATGTAAATCAAAACCACAAGGAGATGCCATCTCACATCAGTCAGAATGGCTACTATTGAAACATTAAGAAACAACAGATGCTGCCAAGATTTTGGAGAAAATGGAATGCTTACACACTGTTTTTTTTATTATTATACTTTAAGTTTTAGGGTACATGTGTACAACATGCAGGTTTGTTACATATGTATACATGTGCCATGTTGGTGTGCTGCACCCATTAGCTCATCATTTACATTAGGTATATCTCCTAATGCTATCCCTCCCCCTTCCCCCAACCCCACACAGGCCGCGGTTTGTGATGTTCCCCTTCCTGTGTCCATGTGTTCTCATTCTTCAATTCTCACCTATGAGTGAGAACATGGGGTGTTTGGTTTTTTGTCCTTGCAATAGTTTGCTGAGAATGATGGTTTCCATCTTCATCCATGTCCCTACAAAGGACATGAACTCATCATTTTTATGGCTGCATAGTATTCCATAGTGTATATGTGCCATATTTTCTTAATCCAGTCTATCATTGTTGGACATTTGGGTTGGTTCCAAGTCTTTGCTATTGTGTATAGTGCCACAATAAACATACGTGTGCATGTGTCTTTATAGCAGCATGATTTATAATGCTTTGGGTATATACCCAGTAATGGGATGGCTGGGTCAAATGGTATTTCTAGTTCAAGATCCCTGAGGAATCACCACACTGACTTCCACAATGGTTGAACTAGTTTACAGTCCCACCAACAGTGTAAAAGTGTCCCTATTTCTCTGCATCCTCTCCAGCACCTGTTATTTCCTGACTTTTTAATGATTGCCATTCTAACTGGTGTGAGATGGTATCTCACTGTGGTTTTGATTTGCATTTCTCTGATGGCCAGTGATGATGAGCACTTTTTCATGTGTCTTTTGGCTGCATAAATGTCTTCTTTTGAGAAGTGTCTGTTCATATCCTTCACCCACTTTTTGATGGGGTTGTTTGGTTTTTTCTTGTAAATTTGTTGGAGTTCATTGTAGATTCTGGATATTAGCCCTTTGTCAGATGTGTAGATTGCAAAAATTTTCTCCCATTCTGTAGGTTGCCTGTTCACTCTGATGGTAGTTTCTTTTGCTGTGCAGAAGGTTTTTAGTTTAATTAGATCCCATTTGTCAGTTTTGTCTTTTGTTGCCATTGCTTTTGGTGTTTTAGACATGAAGTCCTTGCCCATGCCTATGTCCTGAATGGTATTGCCTAGGTTTTCTTCTAGGGTTTTTATGGTTTTAGGTCTAACATTTAAGTCTTTAATCCATCTTGAATTAATTTTAGTATAAGGTGTAAGGAAGGGATCCAGTTTCAGCTTTCTACATATGGCAGCAACATTTGCTGTTCACCAATATCCGCTGTTCTTCAGCCTCCGCTGCTGATGCCAGGCAAACAGGGTCTGGAGTGGACCTCCAGCAAACTCCAACAGACCTGCAGCTGAGGGTCCTGACTGTTAGAAGGAAAACTAACAAACAGAAGGGACATCCTCACCAAAACCCTATCTGCACATCACCATCATCAAAGACCAAAGGTAGATAAAACCACAAAGATGGGGAAAAAAACAGAGCAGAAAAACTGGAAACTCTAAGGATCAGAGCACCTCTCCTCCTCCAAAGGAACGCAGCTCCTCACCAGCAATGGAACAAAGCTGCACAGAGAATGACTTTGACGAGTTGAGAGAAGAAGGTTTCAGACGATCAAACTACTCTGAGCTAAAAGAGGAAGTTTGAACCCACGGCAAAGAAGTTTAAATCTTGAAAAAAAGTTAGCTGAATGGCTAACTAGAATAACCAATGCAGAGAAGTCCTTAAAGGACCTGATGGAGCTGAAAACCACGGCACGAGAACTACGTGACAAATGCACAAGCCTCAGTAGCCAATTCAATCAACTGGAAGAAAGGGTATCAGTGATGGAAGATCAAATGAATGAAATGAAGTGAGAAGAGAAGTTTAGAGAAAAAAGAATAAAAAGAAACAAACAAAGCCTCCAAGAAATATGGGACTATGTGAAAAGACCAAATCTACGTCTGATTGGTGTACCTGAAAGTGACGGGGAGAATGGAACGAAGTTGGAAAACACTCTGCAGGATATTATCCAGGAGAACTTCCCCAATGTAGCAAGGCAGGCCAACATTCAAATTCAGGAAATACAGAGAATGCCACAAAGATACACCTTGAGAAGAGCAACTCCAAGACACATAATTGTCAGATTCATCAAAGTTGAAATGAAGGAAAAAATGTTAAGGGCAGCCAGAGAGAAAGGTTGGGTTACCCACAAAGGGAAGCCCATCAGACTAACAGCGGATCTCTCGGCAGAAACTCTACAAGCCAGAAGAGAGTGGGGGCCAATATTCAACATCCTTAAAGAAAAGAATTTTCAACCCAGAATTTCATATCCAGCCAAACTAAATTTCATAAGTAAAGGAGAAATAAAATCCTTTACAGACAAGTAAATGCTGAGAGATTTTGCCACCACCAGGTCTGCCCTAAAAGAGCTCCTGAAGGAAGCACTAAACATGGAAAGGAACAACCGGTACCAGCCACTGCAAAAACATGCCAAATTGTAAAGACCATCGAGGCTAGGAAGAAACTACATCAACTAACGAGCAAAATAACCAGCTAACATCATAATGACAGGATCAAATTCACACATAACAATATTAACCTTAAATGTAAATGGGCTAAATGCTCCAATTAAAAGACACAGACTGGCAAATTGGATAAAGAGTCAAGACCCATCAGTGTGCTGTATTCAGGAAACCCATCTCAGGTGCAGAGACATACATAGGCTCAAAATAAAGGGATGGAGGAAGATCTACCAAGCAAATGGAAAACAAAAAAAGGCAGGGGTTGCAATCCTAGTCTCTGATAAAACAGACTTTAAACCAACAAAGATCAAAAGAGACAAAGAAAGCCATTACATAATGGTAAAGGGATCAATTCAACAACAAGAGCTAACTATCCTAAATATATATGCACCCAATACAGGAGCACCCAGATTCATAAAGCAAGTCCTTAGAGACAAAGAGACTTAGACTCCCAAACAATAACAATGGGAGACTTTAACACCCCACTGTCAACATTAGACACATCAATGAGACAGAAAGTTAACAAGGATACCCAGGAATTGAACTCAGCTCTGCACCAAGCAGACCTAATAGACATCTACAAAACTCCCCACCACAAATCAACAGAATATACATTCTTTTCAGCACCACATCACACCTATTCCAAAATTGACCACATAGTTGGAACTAAAACACTCCTCAGCAAATGTAAAAGAACAGTCGTTATAACAAGCTGTCTCTCAGACCACAGTGCAATGAAACTAGAACTCAGGATTAAGAAACTCACTCAAAACCGCTCAACTACATGGAAACTGAACAACCTGCTCCTGAATAACTACTGGGTACATAACGAAATAAAGGCAGAAATAAAGATGTTCTTTGAAACCACCGAGAACAAAGACACAACATACCAGAATCTCTGGGACACATTCAAAGCAGTGTGTAGAGGGAAATTTATAGCACTAAATGCCCACAAGAGAAAGTAGGAAAGATCTAAAATTGACACCCTAACATCACAATTAAAAGAACTAGAGAAGCAAGAGCAAACACATTCAAAAGCTAGCAGAAGGCAAGAAATAACTAAGATCAGAGCAGAACTGAAGGAAATGGAGACACAAAAAACCCTTCAAAAAATTAATGAATCCAGGAGCTGGTTTTTTTGAAAAGATCAACTAAATTGATAGACCGCTAGCAGAACTAATAAAGAAGAAAAGAGAGAAGAATCAAATAGACACAATAAAAAATGATACAGGGATATCACCACCGATCCCACAGAAATACAAACTACCATCAGAGAATACCATAAACACCTCTATGCAAATAAACTAGAAAATCTAGAAGAAATGGATAAATTCCTCGACACATACACCCTCCCAAGACTAAACCAGGAAGAAGTTGAATCTCTGAATAGACCAATAACAGGCTCTGAAATTGAGGCAATAATTAACAGCTTGCCAACCAAAAAAGTCCAGGACCGGATGGATTCACAGCCGAATTCTACCAGAGGTACAAGGAGGAACTGGTACCATTCCTTCTGAAACTATTCCAATCAACAGAAAAAGAGGGAATCCTCCCTAACTCATTTTATGAGGCCAGCATCATCCTGATACCAAAGCCTGGCAGAGACACAACAAAAAAGAGAATTTTAGACCAATATCCCTGATGAACATCGACGCAAAAATCCTCAGTAAAATACTGGCAAACGGGAATCCAGCAGCAAATCAAAAAGCTTATCCACCATGATCAAGTGGGCTTCATCCCTGGGATGCAAGGCTGGTTCAACATACTCAAATCAATAAACATAATCCAGCATATAAGCAGAACCAACCACAAAAACCATGTCATTATCTCAATAGATGCAGAAAAGTCCTTTGACAAAATTCAACAACGCTTCACGTTAAAAACTCTCAATAAATTAGGTATTGATGGGACGTATTTCAAAATAATAAGAGCTATCTATAACAAACCCACAGCCAATATCATACTGAATGGGCAAAAACTGGTAGCATTTCCTTGGAAAACTGGCACAAGACAGGGATGTCCTCTCTCACCACTCCTATTCAACATAGTGTTGGAAGTTCTGGCCAGGGCAATCAGGCAGGAGAAGGAAATAAAGGGTATTCAATTAGGAAAAGAGGATGTCAAATTGTCCCTATTTGCAGATGACGTGATTGAATATCTAGAAAACCCCATCGTCTCAGCCCAAAATCTCCTTAAGCTGATAGGCAACTTCAGCAGTGTGAGGATACAAAATCAATGTGCAAAAATCACAAGCATTCTTATACACCAATAACAGACAAACAGAGAGCCAAATCATGAGTGAACTCCCATTCACAATTGCTTCAAAGAGAATAAAATACCTAGGAATCCAACTTACAAGGGATGTGAAGGATCTCTTCAAGGAGAACTACAAACCACTGTTCAATGAAATAAAAAAGGATACAAACAAATGGAAGAACATTTCATGCTCATGGGTAGGAAGAATCAATATTGTGAAAATGGCCATACTGCCCAAGGTAATTTATAGATTCAATGCCATGCCCATCAAGCTACCAGTGACTTGCTTCACAGAATTGGAAAAAAACTACTTTAAAGTTCATATGGAACCAAAAGAGACCCCGCATTGCCAAATCAATGCTTACACACTGTTAATGGACATGTAAATTCGTCCAGTCACTGTGGAAACAGTCTGGAGATTTCTCAAAGAACTTAAAACAAAATTACCCTTTGACCCAAAAATCCCATTACTGGGTATATACCCAAAATAAAACAAATCATTCTACCAAAAGGACATGTGCGCTCATATGTTAATAGTGAAGGAGGTGAAATAATACCAAAATATTTCTTCTCCTCACTCAAAATTACAGAGTTAAAAGGGATTTCAAAGATCGTTTTTAACTATCTCACCTTAAAAAATAAATAATTTCTAGGTTTGTTAAGAAGCAAAGTGATAGCTCCAAGATTATCCAGGAAGCATCATAATCAGTCTTTGATTTAACATTCTCTCCACATCCAAATTCAAAACTAAACGTCTCTCCTTTTTCTTTTCAAAAATCCCAATGTATATCTCTAATTATCTATTATCTTTTACTGAATTTATTTAATATCTGGTTCATTTACTTGATTAAAAACTCCTTGAAAAGAGAGATCCTTTTTATTCACATTTGCATTCATAGACACATACATCTCACTTTGTACATTTCAACTAATGTTTATTAAATAGACAAAATTATTAAATTCAAAAATAAGGGCTAGACATTGGTTTTATGGCTATTATTCTTTTTACAATGTTATCCTGCCACTTCTATTCGTTTATTTTACCTACTAAAAATTAAATTATATAACCTACGTAGAAATTGTTTTTCTACTGAAATAGTTCTGTCTGCTTCAGGTTCCTCAAGATGCTGTAAGAAATGCTAAAATAATACATGTAAATTAAGAAAAACCTTTTGGCAAAGAATATATTGTTTTAAAATTCCAAGGTCAAGAGAATGATATGAAATATCCAAAACAGGAAAATATAAAGACAATTATTTGTGGTTTCCTGGGGCTTGAAGGAGAGGAGCTGGGGAGTGACTACTAATGGGTATGTGGTTTATTTTTGGAATGATGAAAATGTTCCCAAATCAGATTATGATGATAGTCACACAACTCTTTATTCATTCTATAATCCACTGAATTGTACATTGTAAATAGGTGAACTTTATGGTATCTAAATTATATCTTAATAAAGCAGTTAAAAAATGCTCTCCCCAAATGGAAAAAAAAATGGTCCATAATAAAATTGGTTGATGAGAAAGTTTAAATGATTTGAACTCCTGTGATTTAAAATTCTGGATATACTTACTACTCTTTATATAAGAAAGTTACAATATTAAAAGGATAGATATATTAACAGTAAAAAATAATCGCTTGGAGGATAATCAGCCGTATCTGGGTTCCGATTAAAGCTCTACCACTTACCTGATGTGTAATCAAGTTACTTAACCACCTTGAACTACCGTTTCCTCAGAGGAAAATAATAGTACCTAATTCACAGAGTTGTCATAAATATTAAATAAGACCTATTATATTCAGTGCTTAATTCCTCTTGTTATTCTTTCTCCACTTACTTTTATTTTATGCTATATCCAACTCTAGATTTTGGGGCCTAAGTCTACCCACATAATCACTTATTTCTTCTTTTCTTCATATGGATAATTTGCACTTTACAAGTGCAGAATTTAATATCTCATCTTGCAAACAGTCTCACCTTTGTTCCTCTTTGTTTTATATGAGAAAGCTTCATGTGTCTACCTTCATCCTGCTAAACTCTATGTGGATTAGGAACATAAACTCTTAGGGCAAACTTATTGTATTTAAATTCCACTTCCAAAATTATTAACTATTTGAACTTTGGTAAGTGACTGGCCTCTCTTGCCTCAGTTTCTTCATCTGTAAAGCAAAGATAAAAATAACGTTGACCTTATAGGCTTTAATACTGAGGTGTCTTAGTTCATTACGTGTTGCTATAACAGAAAACCTGAGGCTGAGTAATTTATTTTAGAAAAATAGGTTTATTTAGCTCACAATTCTTCAGGCTAGGAAGATCAAGGGATGAAAGATCTTCAGGCTAGGAAGATGTACTTGGCTTCTCATGAGGACTTTTGTACTGCATTATAACATGCCAGAGAAAGTCAATGGAGAAGCAGACACACGTACAGAGACAAAACATGAGGGGCATCCTGCTTTTATAAGAACCCACTGTTAAAAGAAAAACCTCAAACATATTGAATTTAACAGAGTTTCATTAAGCAAAGAACAATTTGTGAATGTGGAATTACCTCCTAACCAGAATAGCTTGAGGAAGATTCCAAGATGCTGTACGGTCGGATAGGATTTTTGGACAGAAAAAGGAAAGTGATGTACAGAAAATAGAAGTGAAATACAGAAACAGCTGGATTGGTTACAGCCTGGCCTTTGCCTTATTTGTACACAGTTTGAACAGTTGGCTGCCTGTGGCTAGCTGCAACTCAGTAATTCGTACAGTAGGAAATTATAGTCTATTTACACATCCAATTAGTTTACAGTTCACTAAATACTGAGAAATGTTTCAGGACAAGCTTAAAATATGTAAGCAGACAGCTTTAGGCTAAATTTTAACACCCACTCTCAAGAGAATATTTTCAGTCTCTTGAGAATGAGAACTTATTCTCTACCACAAACCACGCCACGTAATTTATGAGAGATTCATCCTCATAATCCAAACACCTCCCTTTAGTCCCCACTTTCCAATACAACAAAACTGGGGATCAAATTTCAACATGAGTTTTGTTGGGGACAAGCAAACTATATCCAAGCCATAACATGAGGATAGTACCTGCTAAATAGAAAGTTCACAGTCAATATTGAATATCAAAAATGATTAATAAGTCTAATTATTCTCATAAAAATCTTCAAATTGTGGATCCATAAAGACTCTGGAGTTGCTTGTATTTTCCAATAAATACTCTTATTCACTCTCTTAAACAAACTATTTTATTCTACACTTTATCCCAACAGAACCCTAACCCTTTATAGGGACCCTATATAACTGTAACCCTTTTCCTTACTATGTTTATTTCTTTATTATGCCTTAGCCTAGCTGGACTTGCAAAAAATAATATATTCATAGTCTGTGTTCATTCAGCACCCAGTTATGAAGAATCAGAAGACTACCTGGGAGGTCAAAGATTTTTACTTGCTCTAGAGTAGCTCAAAAAGGCTACTTGGACACAAAGGTACAAAGTAGGCAAGGGAGATTCTCCAGAATACATCTAAGGTAAGTAATATAACCTCTAGAACATCTATGTATTCTTGATTTTTTAAAAAACTCTTTTCATTTTTGTGGGATCATAGTAGGTGATATATTTATGGGGTACATGAGATATTAGTATTTTGATACAGGCATGTAATGTGAAATAATCACATCATTGAGAATGAGATATCCATCCACTCAAGCATTTATCCTCTGTGTTACAAGCAACCCAATTACATTATTTTAGTTATTTTATTTTATTCATGTATTTATGTATGTATTTTTTTATTTATATTTATTTTTTGAGATGGAGTTTTGCTCTTGTCGACCAGGCTGCAGCACAATGGTGCAATCTCAGCTCACTGCAACCTCTGCCTCCTGGGTTCAAGCGATTCTCCTGCCTCAGCATACCGAGTAGCTGGGATTATAGGCATGCGCCACCACTCCCGACTAATTTTGTATTTTTAGTAGGGACGGGTTTTCTCCATGTTGGTCAGGCTGGTCTCAAACTCCCTACCTCAAGTGATCAGCCCTCCTCATCCTCCCAAAGTGCTGGGATTATAGGCTTGAGCCACTAAGCCCGGCCTATTTTAGTTATTTTAAAATGTACACATTATTATCAACTATCCTGTTGTGCTATCAAATAGTAGGTCTTATTCATTCTTTCTAACTATTAACATTCCCTATTAACACTCCCTACCTGCTTCCCAAACCCCCACTACCCTTTCCAGCCTCTGGTAACAATTTTTCTACTGCACATGTCCATGAGTTCAATTGTTTTGATTTTTAGATCCCACAGATAAGTGAAAGCATGTGATGTTTGTTTTTCTTAGCCTGGCTTACTTCTCTTAACATAATGACATCCAGTTCCATCCATATTGTTGCAAATGACAGAATCTCATTCTTTTTTTCATGGCCGAATAGTATGCCATTATGTATATTAGAACATTATCCATTCATCTGTTGATGGTCACTGAAATTGCTTCCTTATCAGCTATGTGAACAGTGCTGCAACTAACATGGGAATGCAGATATTTCTCTGATATACTTATTTCTTTTCTTTTGAGTATATACCCAGTAATGGGATTGCTGGATCATATGGTAGCTCTATTTTTTGCTTTTCTGAGGAAGCTCCAAACTGTTTTCTGCAGCGGTTGTACTAATTTACATTCCCACCAACAGTGTGTGAGGATTCTCTTTTCTCCACATTCACACCAGCATTTGTTATTGCTTGTCTTTGGATAAAAGACAGTTTAACTGGGGTAAGAGAATATCTCATTGTACTTTTACTTTTCATTTCTCTGATGATCAATGACGTTGAGCACTTTTGCCATTTGTATGTCTTCTTTTAAGAAATGTCTATTTAAATGTTTTGCCCAGCTTTTTATTGAACTATTAGATACTTTCCTACAGAGTTGTTTGAACTACTTATGTCTTCTGGTTATTAATCCCTTGTCAGGTGGATAGTTTGCAAATATTTTCTTCCATGCTGTGGGTTATCTCTTCATTTTGTTGATAGTTTTCTTTGCTGTGCAGAAGCTTTTTAAATTGATGTGATCCATTTTGTCTTTGGTTGCCACTTGTGGGGTATTGCTCAAGAAACTTTTGCCCAGACCAATGTCTTGAAGACGTTTCCCAAAGTTTTCTTGAAGTAATTTCATAGTTTATGTCTTAGATTTAAGTCTTTCATCCATTTTTATTTGATTTGTGTATGTGTCAAGAGATAGGGTCTATTTTCATTCTTCTGCATATGGATACTCAGTTTTCCCAGTACAATTTATTGAAGAGACTGTTTTTTCCTCGGTGTATGTTCTTGGCACCTTTGTGGAAATTGAGCTCACTGTAGGTATGTGGATTTGTTTCTGGGTTCTCTCTTCTGTTCCATTGGTCTATGTGTCTGTTTTTGTTTAAGCCAGTACCATACTGTTTGGGTTACTATAGCTCTGTATTATAATTTGAAGTCAGGTACTGTGATTCCTCGAGCTTTGTTCTTTTGCTCAGGATAGTGCGGGCTATTCTGGGCCTTTTGTGGTTCTGTATAAAATTTAGGATAGTTTTTCCTATTTATGCAAAGAATTCACTGGTATTTTGACAGGGATTGCATTGAATCTGTAGATAGCTTTGGAGAATAAAGGCATTTTAACAATATTGATTCTTCCAATCCATGAACATTGACTATTTTTCCATTTCTTGGTGTCCTTTTCAACTTCTTTCCTCAGTGTTTTATAATTTTCATTATCGAGATATTTCACCTGCTTGGTTAATTTTTAGGTATTTAGTTTTGTGTGTGGCTATTGTAAATGGAATTACTTTTTAAATTTCTTTTTCAGATTGTTCCCTGTTGACATTTAGAAATGCTACTGATTTTTTATGTTAATTTTGTATTCTCCAACATTTTTTTGCTTTTTAGTTTTAATTGTTGTGTGTGTGTGTGTGTGTGTGTGTGTGTGTGTGTGTATGTGTGTGTGTGTTTGTGGAGTATTTAGTATTTTCCAAATGTAAAATCATATCATCTGCAAACAAGTATAATTTGACTTCTTCCTTTCCAATTCAGATATCCTTTATATCTTTCTCTTGTCTGATTGCTCTAACTAGGACTTCCATTTCTATGTTAAATAACAGCAGTGACAGTGGGCATCCTTGTTGTGTTCCAGATCTTAGAAAAAAGGCTTTCAGTTCTTTCTTGTTCAGTAGGATACCAGCTGTGAGTCTGTCATACTTGACTTTTATGTTGAGGTATATTCCTTCTACACCCAGTTTTTTGAGAGTTTTTATCATAAGGGAAGTTAAAAGTTATCAAATGCTATTTGGGCATCAATTAAAATGACTATGATATTTTTCCTCATTCTGTTGATATGATGGGTCACATTGACTGATTTGCATATGTTAAACCATCCTTGCATCACAGGGATAAATCCCACTTGGTCATGATGAATGATCTTTCTAATGTATTGTTGAACTTGGTTTTCTAGTATTTCATTGAGAATTTTTGCATGAATATTCATCAGAGATATTGGTCTGTAGTTTTTGTTTTGTTTTGTTTTGTTTTGTTTTGTTTTGTTTTGTTTGAGGTGTTTGTCTGGTTTTGGTATCAAGGTAATACTGGCCTCATAGAATGAGTTTGAAGGTGTTCCCTCCTCTTCTATTTTCTGGAATAGTTTGAGTAAGAATGTTATTTGTTCTTCTTTAAATGTTTGATAGAATTCAGCAATGAAGCCATCAGGTCCCAGGCTTTTCTTTACTGGGAGGATTTTATTATGCCTTTGATCTTGTTATTTGTTATTGTTCTGTTCAGGTTTTGGATTTCTTCATGGTTTAATCTTGGTAGATTGTATGTGTCTAAAAATTTATTCACTTCATCTAGTTTTCCCAATTTATTGGCATATAGCTGCTCATAGTAGCCCCTAATGAATTTAAATTTCTGCAGTATCAGTTCTAATGTCTACTTTTTCATTTCTGCTTTTATTTATTTGTATCTTCTCTCTTTTTCTCTTAGATACTCTGGCTACACATTTATCAATTTTGTTTAGCCTTCCAAAAATAAATATTCTTGATTTTTTACATACTGTAAATAAGTATCTGTGTCATCTTTGCAGTTAACTTCCCATTGATTAATAATTGAGAAACATTTAAAAATCTCTTTCTCTGCAAAAATAGAATATTTTAAGATTTTTATAAAGTAATATAGAAAGTTCTGTGCTGCACTCAAATCAAGACAATATTTTGTTTAAGTATTATGGTAATGATAGCTGTTCAGAGAAACTCAATGGCTATTTTTTTTGTTACTGGCAGTCATAGTAGTGCCCTGGGCAAAGTTATGAAAGGCTCATTAACATTATTAACCATAATAAACCAGCGTTTTTATTATATTAAGTCAATTTTTTTTTCACAGCATTTAAAATATTTTGAAACAGAATTGGCATATTATGTACTTTCTTTAATATCCATGGGTTTATATATATTAATAGATTAAGCAGCAAATGAGTGTTTGCCTTTGGACAGTTTGAACATTGCATTAAGCTCCTTATAAGTTTCTCATTTTCTTTCTTTAGCCTTACTTGTTCCTGACTTTTAATAGTCCGATATGCATCACGTCATTTTTTCATTAGTGCTGCTACCATGAGCATTTATGATAATTCAGTGTATGTGCCATAGTTATTACTGTAAGCCTCTGAACTGAGAATTAAACCTCATAAAGTCAGTTAACTGTGTAGAATATTTCAGTCTATCACGGTCAATTATTCTTAAAGACTATAGCCTCCCACCCAGTGCACTGAGTAACTCAAGATATAGGAAGATATTTTCATTTATATAATAAGGTTGACATGTGCCTTTACAATCCTCTTGAGCATGTCAATAAAAACATACCATACTTTCTATAAACAATTGTTACCATGCCCTCTAATTGTTGATATCTGATAAAATCTTCTATCTTATATTTGATACACTTATGCACAACATAATGATATACAATAATATGCCAATATTTTGTTTCAGTATTATAGTAATGATAGCTGATATATGATAGTGGCCTCATCAGATCATAATACCATTTTTTATCATACTCTTTCTATGTTTAGATATATTTAGATATAGAAATGCTTGCCATTGTGTTACAGTTGCCTACAGGATTCAATACAGTAACATTGTATACAGGTTTGTAGTGTAAGAGCAATAGACTATAACATGTAGCCTAGGTGTGTGGTAGGCTGTACCATCAAGATTTACGTAAGTACACTCTATGATGTTCACACAATGAAAAAAAAAATTTCTAATGATGCATTTTTCAGAACGTATTCCTGTCATTAATCAACACATAACTGTATTCAAATATATGATCAATAGCTATAAACCACGGATTCATATAGACCATTTGATAGTTATAAAGCTTGAAGATACCAGATAATACTTCATTTTGTAAAATTCAGGAAAAATAAAAAGATTTGGCACATGACAGATACATATCTGTGGATGTAGGTTTTTTTTTGCTGTAGTTTTCATTTCTTCAATGTGTGTTATGTGAAATTTACAGGTTTATACATATGTAATAAATATTTAGCTTTTTTTGTTCTTGAAATGTGTTAATATTATTTACATTTAAGCTATTTACTATCTATGTTTTAAAGACTTACCTATATATTATTTGCACATATTTCCATTCAAAAAGAAAAAACATATCATCAAAGAAACAAATAAATGAAATTTATGCTCCTAACTATCATTAAAAAAAAACTTGTTAGGCAGTAAGAAATGACTGAGGATTTTTTATATACTCCAAGGGTGATTTGTTTCTATTGGTGGAGGTAATTATATTGCATTGTAACTTCAACATGCATTCTACATTAACTTTTGTAAATAGCAACAGCAAACAGTTGTTTCTAAACTCATCTTCAAAAAAAAGGTTCAGTATTGGCAGAAAAGTATAGAACATACTATTTTAGATAAAAATATTAAGAGAATTCTGAGAATGAAGTAGACTTAAAGTTGAAGACAAAAAGAAAATGCTTGTATGTATTAAAATAAATGAAATGACATATTGTGGCCAATACTATGCCCCACAGGTTTTATGGATGTTAAATAATTTAATATATATAAAGACATACTAGTATCATTATTTCAGAAGTGAGCAATCTCAGACTCTGAGGCTGCAAGTAACTTGCCCATGATTATGTTGCTAGTAAATGATATAAAGATGCTGAAATGCAGATAGATTTGTTCTTGATACTTGCTCTTATCCACAACAATATACTGCCTCCCAGAAGGAGGAATACATTCATTTGTAAAAGAAAGTGAAGCAACTGAAGGAACAGATCGTGTTTGCAAAGTGTACTACCTCTAGTTATAATGACCAACATATGAGCTTGCTTCCTAAGGCCAACCGACCTAAAGTAACAACTAATTAACAGGAACTGGTTTCCACTCTGGGAGTCAAATATGTGAAAAGTTGCATTTAAAAAACTAATAATTAATGTAATTTTATTTAACTATTTTTGAAAAATACTTCTTTATTCTCCAAAGTATACTTTAAATTTTTATTCAAATTCATGTAAAGCACTGACAAAGTGGTCAAAAACATTCCATGAATAAATTTAGGGGAATTACTTTATTAAAAAACCTCAAAGACACTTTCTGTGTGTGTGTGTGGATATACTAGGTGAAGTGTTTATCCTTTGGGACACTGAACAAACCTCAGCTTTTTAATACATGTTTTTCTGACTCTCTTAGAGAGTATTTGTCAATCTTTCCTTTTTTCTGAACCAATTTTCTCATACCTTCCATGGCAATTCACACATTGCAATGAAATTATATTTTCATGCTTACTTCATTAAGTAAACTGCATCGAACACAGGTAGAATTGGGTGTTTATTCCATCTCTGTAGTCCCACCACTAAATAAGAGGCTGAATACATGTGTAATAGTGTAATAAAAAGCACATGTGCTTAATTATATTTTAAAGCAGAGGTGGAAAATACGTTTTGAATTCAGAGTAAGATTTCAAATGTGATGTTTGAATCTGAACAAAATATTAGGTTTTTAAAAATATGGCCGGGCGCGGTGGCTCATGCCTGTAATCCCAGCACTTTGGCAGGCCAAGGCGGGTGGATCATGAGGTCAGGAGATCGAGGCCATCCTGGCTAACACGGTGAAACCCCGTCTCTACTAAAAAAATACAAAAAATTAGCCGGGCGTAGTGGCGGGCGCCTGTAGTCCCAGCCACTTGGGAGGCTGAGGCAGGAGAATGGCGTGAACCCGGGAGGCGGAGCTTGCAGTGAGCCGAGATCGCGCCACTGCACTCCAGCCTGGGCGACAGAGCGAGACTCCGTCTCAAAAAAAAAAAAAAAAAAAAAAAAAAAACGGAACATACAAACAAATATATATATATATATATGGACTACAAGAACATTGAGTCACTTTCAAATGGATTTTCATAAGAGCATTAGCAAAAATGCCAGTTTTATGAAAGTTCAGACACTGTAACACATGGCCAAGGTATTACCAAGCTAAATATATGATTATTTTCTTCCCCCCCGCCCTTTAAGAATGAATACATACACAGGAAGAGTGTCTAGGAAATCTCCACATACCCCATTCCCAAACATACACAAAAATTAGCTAGGTTTCGGTAAAAACAAAATGTCATAAGGGGGAGCATTTAGGTGTGGTTGACTTTTTAAAGTTCTGAATATAATAATACAAAATCTGTTTAAATATTTGAAATGTTTTAAGAACATACTGACAGGCTGCTAGTTTCATTATTGAATGTTTCTTCCAGAGAATCTTCAGTTTCCCAAAGGAGTTGTGTGCACAATTGCTTTTGCTATTATTAATTTATGGTAACTTGTTCACTTGTTCTCAAGTAGTTCTGTTTGTAGCTACATTTTATGGTGTGCCACTAAACTGCAATAGTCTCTGAGTGCATTTCTTAAGCAAAATATAAGGTAATTACAATGGTAGCTTGACAATGAAAGAGGAAAACATTCTACTCTATACATGACTACTTTATCTTCATGTTTTTAATAGTCTATGGAACAAATTAATTGTTAACAACAAAGTTCCTAACCTATAGTCAGAATAAATTCCACCTATATTGTTCATAAACATCTCAGCAACTATCAAAGTGTTTACTTACATAAGGTAGGAAATGATAAATTATGTAAAATGATTGTTTGGAAATAAAACCAGTAACTAGACATTCTTTTAGAATGTCTCCTCAAAGCAAATTCTACTTTTAGGTGTTTTTTTATCCTACCTGTCTCCTTCTCATGAAAATCTCATATTCAATTTCACAGCACCACTGTTTCAATAGAGATTACTATCCCCTTTAAGAAGAAGATTATTGGCCAAGCCCAAAACTAATAATAATTTGATTACTGGAAATTATTTATTTCAGATGAGACAATTTATTGATCAGTATTTAGGTTTAAGTAAACAAAAGACTTTAATTTTGTCTAAAAATTAATTTATAAAAATGGAAATAGTGGCCAGATACCAACTCTTGACAGCTTTGCCAGATTAGATGACTTCTATCTGGTGACAAGGGATTAAGATTCCCAAGAAAGAATTAAAAATATTCAATATTGGGCCGGGCGCGGTGGCTCACGCCTGTAATCCCAGCACTTTGGGTGGCCGAGGCGGGCGGATCACGAGGTCAGGAGATCGAGACCATCCTGGCTAACACGGTGAAACCCCGTCTCTACTAAAAATACAAAAAATTAGCCGGGCGTGGTGGCGGGCGCCTGTAGTCCCAGCTACTCGGGAGGCTGAGGCAGGAGAGTGGCGTGAACCCGGGAGGCGGAGCTTGCAGTGAGCCGAGATCCCGCCACTGCACTCCAGCCTGGGCCACAGAGTGAGACTCCGTCTAAAAAAAAAAAAAAATATATATATATATATATATATATATTCAATATTGCTTATTTTACAGTAACATTTTTAATATTTTACATTTATGAGGCTTCTTTTGGTACTAATAGTACAAAGAATTAATGTACTAAAAACATAATTTCACAATAGCTAATGAAACTCATAGGACGGTCTTGTGAATACATATTGGAATAGCTTTAAAAACCGTCATCATATGGTTTTAACATGAAGTATTCAATAAGGGTGCAAAGTGAGACATAGTTCAAATTTTACAGACTTACGTTTCCTTTCTCAGCCTCTGAACTAGTGTCTAAAATTATTCATCAGCATAACTACTCTAGAATACATTTTGGTTTCTTAAATATGACCTTTTATGATGGAATGAGTTTAGTTCTACTAAAAAATGAATTAATGGGGCAGAAGAAGGGAAGTGAAAACGAAGTGAATAAAAAATAAATTTCTTCAGATCTAAGATTTATAAGGTCATCCTTTTCCCAAAATGTACCAATTTATGTTTTCAAAAAGATATCATTATTCTAATATTCAGTAACTTTGCAATGAATGTTGATCTATCATAAACACTATTACATATACTTGCTATTTCATAAGTATTTCATCTCAGAAGCCTGCTGTGCTTTTCTGGTCTTCTAATTAATCAGCTTTTCCCACCTTGTGATTGTCTAATTTTCACTTAATTGCTTTACAGTAATAAAGTTTATCTTGCATTCTTCTCCCATCAGGGTGAGACTTTTTAAAATGCAACAAATCTTCAACCTGTAGAGCTGAAGATGATACATTATATTAGGATGGTTTCTCTTCCTCTGAGATTTAGAAAATTACATTTTCAACTGAAGGTTGAAAAGATTATTATGAGCCACCTATAGCCAGTTGTTCATCACTTATTGAATGTCATAAATAAACAATTTTTGGAAAAGAACATTTTTCAAGGAAAAGAAGGCAATATGAAACAATATTATACCAAATCTATTTCCTTTTTATTGACTGTTGATATGAGATCTCTTTCATACTCACAGTTTCACGAACTTATTTTCTAAAACTTATTTTGCTACTTCTACAACTCATTGGCAAATGCTCAAACATTAATTTGAGCTACTGATTAAATAATACAATAACTAAAGAAATCTCATGTTTATTTTTATTATGCTCATCCTTTTCTTTAATAAGAATCTATACATTAGCTGCACATTTACAGTCATGACAAAACTTCTTTTATGTTTGATACCATATACACTACTGTAATAATTTGCATATTAAGCATAAAGCTGTAGCAATCATGTAAATTAATATATACCTTTTAATATAGTCACCATTTAGACTCGGAACAATTATTTAGACCTCATTTTTATATCCTGGTTTTACTGTATCTAAAAACAATAAAGCAGTGGAGCCTTAAAGATAAAGCCTCTGCATATAAAAGCTTTGTTCTTAAAGGACCTAGCTCAATTCTGCTATCAGAATGAAGAAAGTCGGTAAGACTACTCCCTTCACCAAACTTTTCAATAACATTAATGTCTATAACAGAAACCACTAATCATTTTTCTTACAGGTCACTCAAGAATATTACAAATTTTCAGTCTGTGATCTTTGTGAATTTAATGTTAGTTTATCTGGTTTGAAAAGCCAATATGAAGATGGATCAATAATCACTCAGCTATGTAACTGTTATTTGCCTCTCAACATTTGAGGTAAAATATAAAAACAGAACTGCTCTATTCTGAGCTTCCAAATTTGTAAATTCTCTATTGTATACACCTAGATGAAATTTGAAGAAAATTTGTTTCTTTTACCTTCAAATATGATTAATTAATTCCAGTAAGTGCTTAATGCCTTTAAACAATACTTAGCACAGCTGCCTGTGGAACTCAGTATTTAGTTTTTGTTAATGGGGTAATCAGTTGTGACAGACCAATGATATCACAAGATGGGTACACTTTTGATTTTATGTAGTCAATATTGCCATTGAGGTTTAAGAGATTCTTTTGTTTAAAAAATGACAACATAAAATTACGTACTGCCTTTTAAATAGTTAGAAACTTAATTATAATCACTAGCTGTATGATTTTAACATAAAATGACAAAATGTTTTAGGTTTGATTTGTAAAATCTGTACTTCTAATATAACCTCCATTATTCCCAAACATTGTTGTTACTGGAGCTTCATGTGGCTACAAAACTGCCAACAAGAGTGTCTCTAATGAGTACTACAATTGCAAAACGCCATAAGCATCCCAGTCTTGGTTTCATAAAAGAGATGATGAGTTATCTCATGAATACCGTTATGCCACAAAAAACAAGGAAACTTTGCTGTCATGGTGTTTTCTTGATACTAAAACTCAGTGTAGTGAATTAGATGACTACATGAGCAACATTTGGAACTTTTTTATCCATTCATCTGTTGATGAACACTTAGGTTGCTTCCAAATCTTAGCTACTGTTAACAGTGTTGCAACAAACATGGGAATGCAGATATCACTTTGATATACTGAATTCCTTTCTTTGGCGTATATACTCAGCAGTGGGATTGCTGAATCAGAGTAGTTCAATTTTTAGGTTATTCAGAAACTTCCAAACTGTTCTCTAGAGTGGTTTTACTAATTCCTATTCCCATCTATGGTGTATAAGGGTTCCTTTTTCTCCACATCCTTGCCAGTATTTGTTTTTGCCTGTCTTTTGGATATACGCCATTTTAACGGAGCGAGATGATATCTCTCTTATTGTAGTTGTGATTTGCGTTTCTGTGATGATCAATGATGTTTAGCACCTTTTCATATGCTTGTTTGCAATTTGCATGTCTTCTTTTGAGAAATGTCTATTCAAATATTTTGTACACTTTTTTGATCAGATTATATTTTTTTCCCTCTACAGTTGTTTGAGCTACTTATATATTCTGGTTATTAATCTCTTCTCAGATGGGTAGTTTGCAAATGTTTTCTCCCATTCTGTGGGTTGCCTGTTCACTTTCTTGATTGTATATTTTGCTGCGAAGAAGCTTTTTAACTTAATGTAATCCCATTTGTTCATTTTTGCGTTGGTTGACTGTGCTTGTGGGGTACTGCTCAGGAAATTTTTGCCCAGACCAATGTCCTGAAGAGTTTCCCCAATGTTTCCTTGCAGTAGTTTCATGGTTTGAGGTTTTAGATTTAAACCTTTAATTCATTTTGATTTGATTTCTATATATGGGGAGAGAGAGGGGTTGTGAACCCCAAATAAATGAGACTGGTCTCAGTCAATTTAGGAAGTTTATTTTGCCAAAGTTAAGGATGCACACCAATTACACAGCCTCAGGAGGTCCTGACCACATGTGCCCAAGGTGGTCCGAGCACAGCTTGGTTTTATACATTTCAGGGAGACATGAGACATTAATCAATATATGTAAGATGAAACATTCATTTGGTGCAGAAAGGCAGGACGACTCAAAGCAAAGGCATTACTACTTGAAGTTGAGAGGGGGCTTTCAGGTCATAGGTAGATAAGAGACAAATGGTTACATTATTTTGAGTTTCTGATTAAGCTTTCCAAAGAAGGCAATCAGATATGCATTTGTCTCAGTGAGCAGAGGGATGACTTTGAATAGAATGGAAGGCAGGTTTACCCTAAGCATTTCCCAGCTTGACTTTTTTCCTTTAGCTTAGTGATTTGGGGGTCCAAAGATTTATTTTCCTTTCACAGGGTCTAGTTTCATTCTTTTCATATGGATATCAAGTTTCCCCAGCATCATTTGTTGAAGAGACAATTTTTTCCCCAGTGTATGTTCTTGGCATCTTTGTCAAAAATCAATTCATTGTAGCTGTGCGAATTTGCTTCTGAATTCTCTATTCTGTTCCATTGATCTATGTGTCTGCTTTTTTGCCAGCATGCTGTTTTGGTTACCATGGCTCTGTAGTAAAATTTGAAGTCAGACAATGTGACTTGTCCAGTTTTGTTCCTTTTGCTCAGGATAGCATATACTATTCTGGGTCTTTGGTGGTTCCATATACATTTCACGGTTTTTTTTTTTCTATTTCTGCAAAGAATGTCATTGGTATTTTGACAGGGATTTCATTGAATCTGTAGATTGCTTTGGGAAATAAGGACATTTTAACAATATTGATTCTTCCAACCCATGAACATAAAATATTTTTTCATTTTTTGGGGTCCTCTTCAATTTCTTTCATCAATGTTTTATAATTTTCATTATAGAGATCTTTCACTTGTTTGGGTAAGTTAATTTCTAAGTATTTTATTGTATGCGTGGCTACTGTAAATTGGATAACTTTTAAATTCCCTTTCACATGTTCACTGTTGGCATATAGAAATGCTACTGATTTTTGTGTGTTGATTTTGTGTTCTGCAACATTACTGATTTTTAAAATCAGCTCTAATAATTTTTGTGGAGTCTTTAGGTTTTTCTAAATATAAGATCATATAATCAGCAAGCAAGGATAACTTGACTTCTTCCTTTTCAATTTGGATGTCCTTTATGTCTTTCTCTTGTCTGATTCTTCTAGCTAGGCTTTCTGGTACTATGTTGAATAACGGTAGTGACAGTGCACATACTTGTGCTGCTTCAGATCTTAGAGAAAAGGCTTTCCATTTCTTTTTTCCTATTCAGTATGATACTAGCTGTGGGTCTGTCATACATGGCTTTCATTATGTTGAAGTATGTTCCTTCTACACCCAGTTTTTTTTAAGGATTTTATCATGAATGAATATTAAACATTAGCTAATGCTTTTTCACCATCAATTAAGATACTCATGTGGTTTTGTTTTCAGTTCTGTTCATGTGATGTATCACATTGATTGATTTGCATATGTTGAACCATCCTTGCATCCAAGGGATAAATCCCACTTGGTCATGTTGAATGATCTTTCTAATGTATTGTTGAATTTAGTTTGATAGGATTTCGTTGAGGATTTTTGTATAAATATTTATCAGAGATATTGGCCTATAGGATATTGGTCTATAGTATTTTTTTTTTAATGTGTCTTTGTCATGTTTTTGTTTCTGGGTAATACTGGACTCTTGAAATGAATTTGGAAGAATTCATTTCTTCTCTGTTTCTCAGAATAGTTTTAATAGGAGAATAGGATTTACATTACTTCTTTAAAAGTTTGGTAGAATTCAGCAGTAAAGCCATCAGTGTGCAGGACTTTTTTTTTTCTGGAAGAGTCCTTATTATGGCTTCAATCTCATTACTTGTTATTGGTCTGTTCATGTTTTAGAGTTGTTTCTGGTTCAATCTTGGCAGGTTGAACCAGAATCTGTCCATTTCTTCTGGATTTTTAAAATTTATTGGCATATAGGTACTCATAGTTGTCACTAATAATCCTTTGAATTTCTGCAATGTCAGGTGTAATGCCTCCTTTTTCATTTCTGATTTTATTTATTGTAGCTTCTCTCTTTTTCTTATTTAGTCTGGATAAAGTTTTGTCAATTTTGTTTAAATTTTCAAAGAAACAACTTTTTGTTTCATTAATTTCTATATTTATTTCAATTTTATTTATTTCTGCTCTAATCTTTATTATTTCTTTTCTTCTGCTAATTTTGGATTTGATTTACTCTTGCTTTTCTAGATTGATAATATGCATTATTAGATTGTTTATTTGAAGTTTTTTCTCTTTTTTTGACGTAGGCACTTACACCCCTTAGTTTTCCTCTCAGCACTGCTTTTGCTGTATCTGATAGGTTTTGGTATGTTGTATTTTCATTATCAGTTGTTTCAAGAAAAACTTCAATTTCTTTCTTAATTTCTTTATTGACTCACTGGTCATTCGGTAGCATATTTTTTAATTTCCATGTAATTTCCATGTATAGTTTCCAAAATTTTTCTTGTTATTAATTTCTAGTTTTATTCTATCGTGGTCAGAGAAGATGCTTTAGATTATTTCTTTTTTTAATGTTTCAGGAATTCTTTTGTGACCTAACATATTGTCTATTCTTGAGAATTATCCATGTGCTGAGAAAAAGAATGTGTATTTTGCAGCTCTTCAATGAAATGTTCTGTAAATATCTATTAAATCCATTTAGTTCATAGCGCGGATTAAGTCTGATGGGTTTTTTTGTTGATTTTCTGTCTGGAAGAGCTGTCCAATGCTGGAAGTGAACAATAAGTAATAATGAGGTGTTGAAGTCTCCAGCTATAATTGTATAAGGGCCTATCTCTCTCTTTAGCTTTAAAAATATTCGCTTTATACATCTGTGTGCTCCAGTGTTGGGTGCATATATATTTCAAATTATTATATCCTCTTGCTGAATGGACCTCTTTGTCATTATATGATGACCTTCCTTTTCTCTTCTTATAGTTTTCATCTTGAAATCTATGTTGTCTGATATACATATTGTGACTCCTGCCCTTTTTTGATTTCCATTGGCATGGAATATTTTTTCTTTTCCTTTATTTTTAGTCTATGTGTGTCTTTATGATTGAAGTGTGTTTCTTATAGGCAACAGATCAATTGGCCTTGTTTTTCCATGCATTCAGGCAGAGTTCAGTGCATTTACATTTAATGTTATTATTGATAAGTAAGAGCTTACTCCTGACATTTTTTAATTTTTATTTTTTCTGGTGGTTTTGTGATCTTCTCTTTCTTCTTTCTTTCCTCCCTGTCTTCCACTAGTGAGGATCATTTTCTCTGATGATATGATTTACTTACTTGCTTTTTAACTTTTGTGTGCCTATTTTATATTTTTAGGTTGAGGTTACCATGAGGCTTTCAAATACTGTATTATAACCCATTATTTTATCCTGATAAAAGCCCAACACTATTCACATAAAGAAACAAACAAAAAATTAAAAAAGAAAACTAATAAAATCTCACCTTAACTTTATCTTCCTGCTTTTTAACTTTTTGTTCTTTCTATTTGTGTATTATTTTTCTGCCTATGTCTTGAAAAGTTGTTGGAGCTATTATTTTTGATTGGTTCATTATTTAGTATTTCTAGTTAGGATTAGAGCAGTTTACTCAACCAAAGTTACGGTGTTATAATATTCTGTTTTTCTGTGTACATACTATTACCAGTAAGTTTTGTACCTTTAATTGATTACTTATTGTTCATTAATGTCCTATTCTTTCTAATTGAAGTGTTCCCTTTAGCATTGCTTTTAGGACAGGTCTGGTATTGATGAATTTCCTCAGCTTTCATTTGTCTAAGAAAACCTTTATTTCTTCTTCATGTTGGAAGGGTAGTTTTGCTGGGTATACTATTCTAGAATTAAAGTTTTTTTGTTTGTTTGTTTTTGTTTGTTTTTCTTCAGTACTTTAAATATGTCATGCCATTCTCTCCTGGCCCATAAGGTTTCCACTAAAAAGTCTGCTTCCAGACATATTGGAGCTCCACCACCACCCCTGGACATAAGGAATACTGCAAGACTACCACAGATGTTTAGTTAAGGCCCAGGGTCACTTTAGTCAGCTTGTGGTGAATGCTCCGTGGCCTGGGACTCACCCTTTAATGCAGTGGTTTCCCTTCTGTCCCAGGGCTGGTCCTGAAATGCCATCCAAGAGTCAAGTCCTGGAATCAGGGACTCCAAGAGCCCACTTGGTGTTCTACCTACCTGTTGTGTTGTTGGTACCTAGGATATAAGACAAAGTCCCCTTTACTTTTCTCTCAGTTTTTCTCAAGCAGAAAGAGTTTTGCCCCCTAACCACCTCAGCTAATAATGTGCTAAGTTTCTCCTGGGAGCCAGCACATCTCAGAGACTCACCAAGGCCCTCACTATAGTACCAGGTATTGCTGTTGGTTTTTCAGGGCCCAAGGCTGTTCACTTAGGAGGCAATGAATGCTGACAGGACTGGGTTCTTTTCTTCAAAGCAACCGGTTCCCTTCTGGCCCAAGGCGTGTATAAATATGTCACCTAGGAGCTAGGGCCTGGGATAGGGGAACTCATGACTCAGGTTGGTACCCTATCCTACTGTGTTTGGGCTGCTATCCAAGATGCGAGACAAAGTCTCCCCACTCTTCCCTCTCCTCTCCTCAAAAGAAAGGAAGGTGTCTCTTTTGGAGCCATGATCTGTGCACTTTGGAGTTAGGTGATAGGAGCACTCCTTTTGCTTCCCTAGCTGGTGTCTCAGTATGTTGTGTGCCTCTGCAATCTACTGTCTCTGTGGCCACTTCAGTCTTAGGACTCACCTGAGATTTGAAGTCTTTGTGGCCTAGACTGCCTTTCAAGTTTACTTAGAGACTGAGAGCACTTTGCCCTTCATGGTGAGGTTTGCAGACACTCAAGTTCAGATCACTGAGGTTGGTGATTCCCATCTGGCTAGGGCTGGTTTAAATGCTCCCTGTGTGGGTGGTCATCAGCTAAGTTTGGTGTGATTTTCCTTTCTGTTCTAACAGAACAATACTGTGTTCAATGCCTCACAATTGCTGTGTTCTTCTTCCCCCAGCACCCAGAGAAGCTCTCTGCACCATGCCCCCAAGCCTGGGGTGGGGGAGGGGTGGCACCAGCGATTCTGGACGTTTTTTTCTATCACTTCAGTGCCTCTTCCAGCAATATGAATTTAATACCAGATACCTAATTTTTGGTTCTTATACAGATTTTTCTTTTGTTAACTTGGTGTCTTTGCTGGGGCAATGATTAGTGGAGCTTTCTATTCTGCCATCTTGCTTTGCCTCTCTTTTTTTTTTCTTTTAGAAACAGGTAAATACAACTGTTTAAGCATTATCATTAATATATAATGTTAAATTTTAAAATATATTATTTTTGTTCTACTACTTTGCTGGGGCAATGGAGCCAATGGAGAGAAAGATAACAAAATTTGTTTCTTAAAAACATATAAAAAGCCATTTCTCCCAATGTGAGAGATACTAATATGTACTCACCAAACCCATTACTTTCTCCTAATCACACAGTTCTACTACATTTTTCAGGCTTCCTTGCTTAAGTGAGATTTTGTGTCTGATTTCTGAACAATAGAATTTAGGAGGAAGTGTTGGGCAATACTTCCAAGGCTATCCCATAAAAAAATTTCTACTGGGATTTCCCATGCTGCTGTCAGCAATGACTTCAGTAGTTATATGTTGAATATAGAGGAGCCACAAAATGAAAGGAGCCTGGATTACTGAATCACCACTTGGATGAGAGCTCCCAGCTAATTGGTAACCTATGTTTTTCACTTTATATAAATGTTAAACCACTCATATTTGAGGATTTATTTGTTACAATAGCTACTATAACTTTATTTAACAGAAATTCATTCTTTGAAACAAAAAATACCTGCCATAGCAGAAACCTAAAATACATGTATAAGTTTAATGGTCATGCAGTGAGCAGAAAGGTAACTGACTTGGAGGCTGAAAATATGAAGGCCCATTATACGCAGTGGCAAAACATTTATTAACACTCTTGCCTGCTATAAATTGGAAGGAAAACCATATGCCCACTGAATATGCAGCTCCAAAGAGTCAGAGTCAGGGTAATAGTATATCCTGTTCTGATGTTCTGCATTGAGAAAGTATTCAAAGAGATTAATTAGAAAAATATTTGGCTAGTTTGCAAGCAAAAATGAACCTGTCTACTTCTAGATCTGCATAAAGCAAAATTCTGGAAGTTCTTTCTATGCCATGAAAGATATATTAGAAAGACTTTGGCCTCTCCATCAATCTACAAAAGTCAGAAGAAAATTGGTCTCAGAGTCTAATTTGATTAATAAAAATAAATAATTTTAATTAACAATGATGTATTGTGACCAGTAGTGGATTCCAACTGAAGACTTAATCTCTAAATTTAAGAAAGTTAAAATCCATTTGAGTAGGGAAAAAAAAAGAATAAAAGCACAATTTAAAAGTAACTACAAACAAGTTAGTTCGATCTAGATAATTATATATTACAGTGCAAGTGGGTCCTCTAAATGATGGTTAGGGATGAGCAAATTAATAAATTATGTGGTTTTTAGGGTAGTAAGAAACAAAAAGCAATAAATCAATAATTACAGGATTAATGTAAGTTGTATAATACACACTGAGAGATTCAGGGAAAGGGCATGTAAAACAAGAGATAAATTTATCGCAAAAGTGGGTTTTAGTCCAAGTGTTTAAGAAGATGTGAGTAGAGTGGCCAAACGGGCTGACTAGAAGCAGCTAAATGGCATGGCTCTCACGGAAAGGAATGGAAGGGGTGAGTAAATACAACACCTTCAACTGAAACATTCAGGTACTTACATTGGGTCTAATCTTGGAAACAACGTGACCCACGGAGACAGAGAAAAGCAAGGCAGGACACCGGCTCATGCAGGAGCAACACAGAGCCAAGGGAAGCTCCACTGCACAGAGAAGCAGTGAGTGAATGTGCCACTCTGGGAACCCATGCTGCTCCCACAGATTTTTGAAACCCTCAGGTCAGGAGGATCCCTCATGAATCTGCTCCACTAAGGGCCTTCAGTCTGACGCATAAACATGTGTCAGGAGCTATGTGGAGTCTCAGCAGAGCAGCCACTCAGGCATACGCAGAGACCCAGGAGTTTAGATACTCCAGCTTTGCAGGGAAACCAGCAAAAGTAGCTGCAACTCCAGAAAAGTGGGTGGTTAGACTCCTGTACCTACCACTAGGAAAGATGTTGAATCCAGAGGGCAGAGCAATAATGGCCTACAGGCCCCGCTTCCACAGCTCCTCACAGGATAAGACCCACTGGCTTGGAATTCCAGCCAGCAACAAGTAGCAGCATTGCGCCTCCCTGGGTTTGAGCTCCCAGAGAGAGGGGTGGGCTGTAACTTTTGCTGTTTTGGTAACTAGCTGTTCCAGCCTTTGGGCTTTGGAAAGCCCAAGCTGACCAGGGATGGAAGCAGTACCCCAGCACAGCACAGCTTCCCTACAAAAACATGTCCAGACTGCTTTTTGAGTGGGTCCCCAATCCCATTCCTCATCACTGGGTAAAGTATCCCAATCAGGGTCTCCAGCTACTCCTACTGGTGTTCTCCAGCTGATAGAGGTTTCAGGTCTCCCTGGAATGGAGCTCCCAGGGAAAGGGGTGGGCCGCCATCTTTGCTATTTGGGCTAGTTATTCCAGCCTTCAGGTTTCAGAGTATCCAAGGTGACCAGAGACTGAAATGGACATCCAGCACAGCACAGCTGCTCTACAAAAACGTGGCCAGACTACTTTTATATGTGGGTCCTCAATCCCATTTCTCCTGACTGGGTGAGACCTTCCAATTTTGGTCTTCAGCCACCTCTTACAGGTGCATGTGGGTGAGCAACAGGCCTGTACCTCCCTGGGACAGAGGTCCTAGAGGGAGGAGCAGACTGCCATCTTTGTTGTTTTGCAAGCCTTCACTGTGATACCTCCAGGTACTGGAAAATCTGAGGTGACTAAGCACTGGAGCAGATCCCCAGCATTCTGCAACAGCCCTACAGAAAATTGGCCAGACTGTTACATGGGTACTTGTTCCCATATCTTCTCACCAGTCAGGTCCTCTAGCCACCCCTTACCAGAGCTATTCAGCCAGTATCAACTCAGCAACTCCCTGGACAGAGCCTCCAGGGGCAACTGAAAGCCTCTTTGCCACTGCATCTAACACGAAGCCATCCTTGCTACCCTCTCACTAACAAAGGAGCAAGCACCCTTTGTGCCTCATTCACACTTCCAACAAGCTGCAGTCAACCCAAGGAAAGGAGGCCACTACATCTCCCATGGGTCCCCCACACATCTCATTGCTTACTGCCACACAGGGAACCCCTGGTTTAGGCCCACAGCACAGACCCTCCATTCTGGGCTGATTGTACTGAGCAATTACTGAACAACATCTCTCTGGGGTGGGGCCCCCAGGAGATAAGTAAATTGGTGTAGCAGCAAGCCAGATGATATGGAGCCCAGAGGGTTTTGTGCAGGTGTGTCTGTAGCCAACCCTCTAGACTTAACTTGCTCCCATAAGAGACTTTATGCCTAGGGGAATTATCAGACCTGATTTCTGCAGGGTGGTCTTGCACATCAGATAGGGCTAGTCCAACCTGAACACTCCTTGGTCTGCTGGCCTCTTCTGGGACACCAGCCTAGCCATACCTGCTTACAGGGCAGTCTCACATGCCCCGGGGGCCCACACCATAGCTTTTCAGACAGTGGACAGTATGTGATCAATGGAGGGCTCCAGCAAGGCAGCCCCTATGTCCACGCACCAGCTGGCACATTCCCTCCCCATACTGCAGCTTCCTCTGAGCCCACGGAAACTCCCCATATTACTTTGCTGATGCATGTCTGCACAGGCATGTTTTGCTTTACTTGCCCTGCAACCACACGGGAGTACAGTGTGTCCTCTGACCCCTGCTCACTGCCATTGCAGACAGAGCTTTGACAGGCATAGAACCAGCAAGCTCCACCATGCCAGCACCCTGCTTTTGCACTAATGCTGCATGGAGAACGAGAGATCCTTCTGCATCCTAAGCAATCACTCCTGCTTGCAGGACACAGAGAAGGCACCCAGATCTGCACTGGCCAGCACCCCACCCCAAACCAACACCACCACCACCTTCAGTTCAACAGTGCACACAACCTCCAGCAGAGTCCTCCTGCTCCCTACCAACTGCCTTGCTTCCACCACTGTGGTGAACACTCACAGGGAGGCAGGCACCACTGCATTCCCTAGCACTTGGATGTAGCTGCAGCACCTCATTTCCCACCCCCAGCACAGTAGACTCCAAACCTTAAGGAGTCAGAGAACAAAGTGGGGGTTCAAGAAAAGTCTCTCAGAGTTAGAGCACATAGTCCAGGAGTTGGGAGCTGAACACTGGCCTGTGAAAATTGTCCAGAAATGAAGCCAGTTAGCTGAATCCACCTTAAACCACAATCAAATGCTCAAGGTCATCAAACAGAATAAAAGGAAAAAAAAAGTCCATCCAAAGGTCAGCAACCTCAAAGATTGAAGGTAGATTAGACCACAAAGATGAGGAAGAATCAGCACCAGAATGCTGAAAATTCAAAAAGCGAGAGTACCTTCTTTCCTTCAAATATCTGCATCACCTCTCTAGCAAGGTCAGTGACCAACAGAGGCTGAGATGACTGAAATGACAGAAGTAGAATTCAAAATATGGACAGAAATGAAGTTCACTGAGCTACAGGAGTACATTGTAACCCAACACAAGGAAGTTAAAAATCATGATAAAGTATTGCAGGAGCTGAGAGAAAAAATAACCAGTATAGAGAAAGTAACTGACCTGATAGAGCTGAAAATTACACTGCAAGAATTTAATAATGCAATGATAAGTATTAATAGCAGAGTAGAACAAGCAGAGGAAAGAATTTCAGAGCTTGAGGACTGCCTTTCTGAAATAAGACAGTCAGACAAGAATAGAGAAAAAAGCATGGTGGCTCGCACCTGTAATCCCAGTACTTTGGGAGGCCAAGGCAGGTGGATGATTTGAAGCCAGGAGTTTGAGATCAGCCTGACCAACATGGCGAGACCCTATCTATACTAAAAATACAAAAATTAGCCAGGCGTGGTGGTGCATGCCTGTAATCTCAGCTACTTGGAAGGCTGAAGAACGAGAATTGCTGAAACTCAGGAGGCAGACGTTGCTGTGAGCTGGGAAGCACCACTGCACTCTAGCCTGGGTGACAGAGTGAGATGCTGTCTCAAAGAAAAAGGAAAAGAAAAGAGAAAAAGAAAAAAAAGAAATTCCAACCAGAATTTTATATCTGGTAAAACTAAGCTTTATAAGTGAAGAAGAAATATCCTTTTCAGACAAACAAATGCTGAAGTAATTTGTTACCACCAGACTTGACTTACAAGAAGTCCTAAAGGAAACACCAAATATGGAAAGGAAAGACCATCACCAGCCACTACAACACCATACTAAAGTACGCAGACCAGTGACACTATAAAGCAACCACATAAACAAGTCTGCAAAACATCATGATGACAGGATCACATCCAAACATATCAATACTAACCTAAAATCTAAATGGACTAAATGCCACACCTAAAAGACACAGAGTGGCAATCTGGATTTAAAAAAAAAAGATACATTGATATGGTCTTTTCAAGAGACCCATCTCACATTCAATGACACCCATAGTCTCAAAATAAAGGGATGGAGAAGAATCTATCAAGTAAATAGAAACAGCAAAAACCAGAGGTTGCAATCCTAGTTTCTGACAAAATAGACTTTAAATCAACAATGATCAAAGAAGACAAAGAAGGGCATTATATAATGGTAAAGGGTTCAATTCAACAAGAAAAGATTAACTACTCTAAATATATATGCAAACAACACAGGAGTACCAAGATTTATAAAGCAAGTTCTTGGAGACTTTAAAAGAGACTTAAGGCTCCCACACAATAATAGTGGGTGACTTTAACACCCCACAGGCAATATTAGATAGATCATTGAGACAGAAAATTAACAAAGATATTCAAAACCTGAACTCAGAACTGGATCAAATGGACCTGATATATATATATATATATATATATATATATATATATATATATATATATACACACACACACACACAACTCTCCATCCCAAAACAACTGAGCCTCCCAAGTAGCTGGGATTTCATACTTCTCATCACCACATGATATGTACTCTAAAATAGATCACATAATCAGAAGTAAAACACTCCTCAGCAAATGCAAAAACACTGAAATTATAATAAACAGTTTATTGGACCTCATTGCAATCAAATTCAAAATCAAGACTAAGAAATTCATAAAAATAACCCATAGAATTACCTGGAAATTGAATAACATGCTCCTGAGTGACTTTTGGGTAAAATAAAATTAAGGCAGAAATCAAGAAGTTCGGCCAGGTGAGGTGGCTCACGCCTGTAATCCCAGCACTTTGGGAGGCAAAGACGGGCAGATCACCTGAAGTCAGGAGTTTGAGACCAGTCTGGCCAAAATGGTGAAATCCTGTCTCTACTAAAAATACAAAATTGGCTGGGCATGTTGGCACGTGCCTGTAGTCCCAGCTACCTGGGAGGCTGAGGCAGGAGAATCACTGGAATCTAGGAGGCAGAGGGTACAGTAAGCTGAGTTCGCATCACTGCACTCCAGCCTGGGTGACAGATAGAAACTTCAAAAAAAAAAATCAAGAAGTTATTTGAAACTAATGAGAACAAAGATATAACATTCCAGGATCTCTAGGACACACATAAGGCAGTGTTGAGAGTGAAATTTATAGCACTAAATGCCCACATCAAAAAGTTATAAAGATCTCAAATTGACAACCTAACTTCACAACTAAAATAACTAGAGAACCGAGAGTAAACAAACCCAAAAGCTAGCAAAAGACAAGAAATAACCAAGATCAGAGCTGAGCTAAAAGAAATAGACATACACACACACACAAAAAAAAACATTCAAAAGATCAAACAAATCCAAAAGTTGCTTTCTTGAAAAAAAAAAATAGATCACTAGCTAGACTAATAAAGGAGAAAAGAGAGAACATTCAAATGAACACAATAAGAAATGACAAGGGAGATATTACCACTGACCCCACAGGAATAAAAACAACCATAAGATAATATTTTGAAAACCTCTATGCACGAAAACTAGAAAATCTAGAAGAAATGGATAAATTCCTGTACACACACAACCTCCCAAGACTGAACCAAGAAGAAAGTGAATCCCTGAACAGACAAATGAAGAACTCTGAAATTGAGGCAGTAATAAATAGCCTACCTCCCTCCAAAAGCCCATGACTAGATGGATTCACAGTTGAATTCTATCAGATGTGAAAACAAGAGCTGGTACCACTGCTACTGAAACTATTCCAAAAAACTGTGGAGAAGGAATTCCTCCCAACCTCATTCTATGAGGCCAACATCATCCTGACATCAAAACCTCTTAGAAATACAACAAAAAAAGAAAACCTCAGGTCAATAGCCTTGATGAACATTAATGCAAAAATCCTCCACAAAATACTGGTAAACTTAATCCAGCAGCACATCAGAAAGCTTATCCAACATGATTAAGGAGGCTTTATCCTTGGGTTGCAAGGGTGGTTCAATATAGGCAAACCAATGAATGTGATTCATTACATAAACGGAACTGAAGACAAAAACCACAATATTATCTCAATAGATGTGGAAAGGGCCTTTGATAAAATTAAACATTGCTTCATGTTAAAAACTCTCAATAAACTAGGTATTGAAGGAGAACACCTCAAAATAATGAGAGCCACCTATGACAAACCCACAGCCAACATCTTACTGAATGGGCAAAAGCTAGAAGCATTCCCCTTGAATTCGGGCACAAGACAAGGATGGTCTTTCTCACCACTCCAATTCAACATGGTATTAGAAGTTCTGGCCAGGGCAATCAGGCAAGAGAAAGAAATACATGGCATCTAAAGAGGAAGAGAAGAAGTCAAACTATCCCTCTTTGCAGATGACATAATCCTATATCTAGAAAACCTTATAGTCTCAGCCCAGAAACTTCTTAAGCTGATAAGCAATTTCAGCAAAGTCTCAGGATATAAAGTGAATGTGCAGGCAGGGCAAGGTGGCTCAGGCATGTAATCCCAGAATTTTGGGAGGTCAAGACAGAAGGATTGTTTGAGCCTAGGAGTTCAAGACCAGTGTGGGCAACATGGCAAGACTCTGTGTCTACAAAAAAAATAACAAAAAACGGTGGTGTGCATCTATAGTCCCAGCTACTCGGGAGGCTGAGGTGGTGGGATCCCAGGAGATGGAGGTTGCAGTGGACCAAGATCTCGTCACTGCACTCCAGCCTGGGCCACAGGGTGAGACACTGTCTCAAAAAAACATCCATGTGCAAAAATTACTAGCATTTTTATACACCAACAACAGTAAAGCTGAGAGCCAAATTAGGAATGAATTCCCACTCACAATTATGATGAAAAGAATAAAATACCTAGGAATACAGCAGACCAGGGAGGTGAAAGATCTCTACAAGGAGAACTACATACCACTGCTCAAAGAAATCAGAGATGACACAAATGAAGAAATAGTCCATGCTCATGGATAGAATCAATATCATTAAAATGGACATACTGCCAAAAACAATGTATAGATTTAATGGTATACCTATTCAACTACCATGGACATTATTCACAGAGCTAAAAAATTTTTTTAAATTCATATGGAATCAATAAAGAGGCTGAATAGCCATGGCAATCCTAAGCAAAAGGCAAAGCGAAGGCATCATGCTACCTGACTTCAAACTATACTACAGGGCTACAGTAACCAAAACAGCACGGTACCAGTACAAAAGCAGACACATAGACAATTGGAACAGAATAAAGTTTCCAGAAATAAGACCACACATCTATAGATCTGATCTCTGACAACCTGACCAAAAAAGGCAATGGGGAAAAAATTCCCTATTCAATAAGTGGTGCTGGCATAACTGGCTAGCCATATGCAGAAAATTACAATGGGACCTCTTCCTTAGACCTTATACAAAAAATTAACTCAAGATGGATTAAAGACTCAAATGTAAAACCCAAAACTATAAAAACCCTAGAAGACAACCTCGGTAATACCATTCAGGACACAGGCACAGGCAAATGTTTCCTGATGAAGACCTCAAAAGCAATCCCAACGAAAGCAAAAATTGACAAATGGGATCTACTTAACTAAAGAGCTGCACAGCAAAAGAAACTATCATGAGTGAACAGACAACCTACACAATGGGAGAAAGTTTTTGCAAACTGTGCATCCAACAAAAGTCTAATATCCAGCATCTATAAGGAATTTAAACAAATTTACAAGAAAAAAAACGAACAACCCTATTAAAAAATGGGCAAAGGATATGAACACTTTTCAAAAGAAGACATACATGTGGTCAAGAATCATATAAAAAAGCTCAACATCACTATAAATAGAGAAATTCAAATCAAAACCACAATGAAATACCATCTCACACCTGTGAGAATGGCTATTACTAAAAAGTTGAAAAATAAGTGCTGGCAAGATTGTGGAGAAAAAGGTACACGTATACACTTTTGGTGGGAGTGTAAATTAGTTCAACCATTGTGTAAGACAATGTGGAAATTCCTCAAAGACCTAAAGACAGAAATACTATTCAACACAGCAATGCCATTACTGTGTATATACACAAAGGAATATAAGTCAGTCACTCTATTATAAAGACAAATGCACACACATGTTCATTGCAACAGTATTCACAATAGCAAAGACATGGAATCAACCTAAATGTCCATCAGTGATAGATTGGATAAAGAAAATGTACATATTAACACCATGGAATACTATGCAGCCATTGAAAGGGATGAGATTATGTTATTATTATTATTTTTTTTTGCAGGAACATGGATGGAGATGGAGGCCATTGTCTTTAGCAAAATAACACAGGTACATAAAACCAAGCACCACATGTTCTCACTTATAAGTGGGAGTTAAGTGATGAGAACACATGGACACATAGAAGAGAACAACAAACACTGGAGCCTATTGGAGGATGGAGGATGGAGGGTGGGAGGTGGGAGAGGGTCAGGAAAAATAACTAATGGGTACTAGGCTTAATACCTGCATGATAGCTGGCCACGGTGGCTCACACCTGTAATCCCAGCACTTTGGGAGGCTGAGGCGGGTGGATCACCTGAGGTCAGGAGTTCGAGACCAGCCTGGCCAACATAGTGAAACCCCATCTCTAACAAAAATACAAAAAATTAGCTGGGCGTGGTGGTGGGTGCCTGTAATCCCAGCTACTAGGGAGACTGAGGCAGGAGAATAGCTTGAACCCGGGAGGTGGAGGTTGCAGTGAGCTGACATCACACCATTGCACTCCAGCCTGGGCAACAAGAGTGAAACTCCATGTCAAAAAAAAAAAAAAATACCTGGGTGATAAAATAATCTGTACAACATACCTCCATAACAAAAGTTTACCTATGTAACAAACCTGTGCATGTACCTCTGAACTTAAATTTTAAAAAAAAAAAGAGAAAAAGAAAAAAAAGATTATTTGCATCACTTGGTGAAAAAGAAAAATATCTGGGAAGCATTTTGTCTTCATGTTTGTAAACAAGTTTAAAACTTGTTACATCTTAATAAAGTCAAGTTGAGACATGCAAGTCCATTTGCTTAATATTAGTGCATTGACCTAGGGACAGAAAACTAAAAAATAGTTAATATTTGACTGTACTCATATACTGCCACTGGTTTGCAGTGGGACAAATTTGTGAAATGGAAACATAGATGGGTGCCTAAAGCCTGACAATCTTGAATTACCATTCAAAAGTACTTTAAAACCATCCTAGACAAGACTGTCTCATGTAAAAGAAACAAAGATGGGTGAATTCTACTTCTGAAATAATTTTTTTTGTTCTCTCCTCTCCTCTTCCATCTCATGGCCCTTGCATCCATGACAGGTGTCTATTACACAGTGCCAGCAGCCTCCTAAACCAGTTATTCAGCCTACCTCTATGACCTCCCAGCCCTCACCTCCTTTGTGCATCCCCCCAACTCAGTGCCAGCAAAGAAACCTTTCTATAACGCAGATGCTTATGTCAGGCCTCTGCCTAAAATTACTTATTGACAGAGGCCTAATACCCATAGATGAAATTATAAAATACTTAGAGTGATATGCAAAATCACTTAGAGTAACAGAGAAGTCCCTAACTTCTAGTTTTCTCTCATACCACTTTTTCTCATGAATCCTATACTGAACTGTTAGCTGTTGCCTAACACCATTATTTTTTTTATATCTCTGCACCTTCATGTACATTATTCTGCCGGTCTAGAATGATCTTCCCTTCATTCCATAGTTACCAGCTACCCTTGTTTTGTGGCTTAATCATTACCTTTTATATGAAAGTATACCCAGATGCTGCTTTTATATAAACAGAAATACAGATGCGATGTCTGTGCTCTCTGAGCTGTCTATATATTGATTTTAACACATTGCATTTCAATTGTCTATGTGTTTGTCTCCTATCAGGTTTTGAGAGTTTTGAAGACAATGACCATATCTGATTCATCTTGAGAACCCCAGTTCACAGCAACTCAGTGTAGGTGCACAGTCAATAATTTAAAATACAATTCAGAATACTGATATGGTGCAAGTAAACAGAAAACTAACATGGAACAATGAAACGATGATGAACATAGGCTCAAGGCAGAGTCTGTTTTCCCTTTTTTATACTCCTATAAAAGGAGAAGGATTCCAATTTTGATAACATGACTGTAATTAGTTAACAAAAGGATACAGGGAACAGTGTAGCCTATTACAATAGAAAAATGCATGCCCTAAAATTAAGGCATCTCAAAGTACATGTCTTTTTATTAGATAGTTTGTTGGTTTACAATTTAAACTTTGGTGGTTTTAAAATGTAAACTACTAGAAAAATCTTCTTGTGGTTTTATCAAATATTTAAAGGTGAAGAAAAATAATTTGTAAAATGGTTGAGTTAAATTAGACAAGAATGACCCAGTTGCTTCCACCATTTAATAACATTCACTGTCTATGTACATGCTTTTTAATGTTTTTTTCCTCCCACATTAATCAAATGCTAGGAGATAGGGCATATCGAGGCCATAGCCTACCTAAGCACTAAATGCCATTCGCACGCTATTCACTTGTTTTATTTTATTTCATTTTTGAGACGGAGTCTCCTTCTGTCGCCCAGGCTGGGATGCCGTAACAGAATCTCGGCTCACTGCGACCTCCACCTCCAGGGCTCAAGAGATTGTCCTGCTTCAGACTTCCTAGTAGCTGAGATTACAGGCATGTGCCATTCCCAGCTAATTTGCTATTCACCTTTTGATTCCGGAGAATCAAAGGTGTCCTGTTGAGCAGTCTTGTGCGAATGAGAATCAGGTCTTGAATAAGTTGCTCACAAAATCCATGCCAAACTAATCTCCCAATGGCTCCCAGTGATCACAAAGGTCTTTTACACAAATCTCTGCAATGCTTGACTGACCTCATTGGCCTCCTTCACCTCAGTAAATGGATCCATAGGGGCATTTGCCTTGTATTTAAGGAAAGAAAGAATCTTTCTGAATTTGGACTAAATGCCATAAAATCTCTGTCATGTACAAATGGAATAATTATTGCAGCTGGGCCTATGGGCCACTTCTTATTAAGAAAAAATCATTTATTTGCAAGAGTTCTAAAAACTCAAAGCATTTAGATCGTTCGTACTGCCACATTTCTATTATTAATCATCCACTATAAAACCTGCTGAAAGAAACATGTCCAGTGTTTTCTTTTCAGTTATCTAAAGTAATGATAATATTTGTACTAATTCTAGACATTGAGATACAGTAATTTTATACATTCTAAGTTTTTAACAACACGTTTCAAAGGTGTACATGAGAAGCAAATATATTGGAAATTAAGGAAACAGTAGTTAATCACATCTCAATCATTTTACCACTATTTCTTTTAAATAAATACGTATATAATGAAGTTAGTACAGGTTACTATTTCAGAAAAAAAGAAGAAATATAAGATATTTCTTTGGATGTTATTTCTAATTTTATCTTATGATTCTCTTGAGTTTAACGTTTTAAATTATTATGCATTTATATATTTCCTGATCTATTCAGTTTCTATATACTTGCTGCCTTAAAAACCTGAGCTAGAAGTGACTTTTAATATTAACTTTATTCTATTTAGTGTTTTTATTATCAATTTTCATGATCTGCATTCAAAGGAGAGAAGAAAAAGGGAGGCTGTGTGTAAATGACAAAATATGAATTCTTAAGTTTGAGTCATCCTTTATGACATTAACAATGAAATGAAGAAGATGTCATTAAACAATGGGCTAGAAGTGAAAAGTTTAAGAGTTTTCTTTTCCACTTCGCCTCCAACTGATTTTGTGCCTTAATAGCCACATCAGCAAAAATGGCATTATTGGCTTCTCATTTCCCTGGATAGTGGTAAAATGTAAATTGCTGATGGCTAGCCTGTGAGATTCATAATTTGTACCAGGTAAAAGGAAAAGGGCCAAGGACCGTATGGATAAGGTAAGAATGTCTAGTTTTAAATCAAAATACATTTGAAATAATCAGAGAAAAGAGTAAGAAAACAAGATATTAAAAAGCAGAAAGTATTCATGAATTAAACCTCCAATTATGTGCTGGAGTGAATACTATCATTTTAGTGTACATGTCTACTTTTTTTTAAAAAGATCTCCTCTCTAGTCTCTACTGTTGCCTGAGGATATTCAATGTTTGGAAAGCTAGAGTTGATATTGTGGCACAGGACTATGAATGGCTTGCTGTATAATCAGGGAAGAAGTCTATAAGATTATAAAGATTTGCACTGATCTATGTTGAAACATATATATTTATATATGTAATGTTCCTTCAATAACTACAAGGCTCCAATTACACACAGAGGTGAGTTTTGACAACATAAATATGATGAAAGATAAAATATTTTGAGAATAAAATTACTAGGGTCTGATGTCTATATATAGGGTGATAGACAATCTTTTTTACTGTCTTTAAAATAAATTATATTCTGACAGCAGTAAAATATTCTTCTTTCTAGAAACAGGTGATTTTCAGTTCTAGTATTTAGATTATTTGTCTCTACTGTATCTGAAAATCTTCAGGTAGTATTTTTTTTCAGAGATCTATTCAGACTTTAATGCCCACAGGGAGAAAAAGCACACTGCTTTGGGCTTCGTTCCTATTTCTTGTTTTTCATTAAGTATGAGTTGTAAGTGAGCAAGAAACCCTATTATATCTGAGTCAGTGTCAGCGATCACATAATTATTTGCCTGATTACTTTTCAATTTTATGTTTTTAAGCATTTGCTTCCTCAGAGGTCTTCACTTTGCTTTGTCTAAGATTTGGAAATGAAAAAAAAACATGTTTTCCTATTTCATAAATTAAAAAATTTCCTATGTGTATATCATAAATTGGAAAGAAATCCAAGTTACCACTTTATCCTGTGTTCTAATGATAATACTCTTATCTTTATACTAAATTTGACCTCTAAGAAAGAGACTAAAAAAGAATACTGTGGGCAGCCTTTGTGATCTAAATCATTCCAAATTACTTAGTTATAACAAAATCATATATCAGGCTTTACTTTAGTAAATGAAATATTCCCATTATTAGACAACATCATAGCTATAGGCTTTCAAAAAATTAGAGTGAAATTTCTGCTGTAATTAGCATTTTATAAAATTAGAAATACAGTTCTTTAGTTGCTAAAATGATCTTCAACATTCTTGTTCTGTTAAAATCTTTCTCTCATAAATTTCTAGAGAGCATATATGAGAAAAGAATACGGCAAAATAATATCTGGATTGCATTAAAGTGAATTATAGTGGATTTAATTTCATTGTAGCTCTCTTTCCAATCCAGTCATACATTACATGACCTAACATAAATTTTGTGGTTTTAAAAGTTGTTAGCTTACAAGATTCACAGCAAACACAGGTGGAAATTTCTGTTCTGGAAAAAGGATAAATTCACAAAGTAGATTAGTTACAGCAAAATTTAGTTTTTAAAATAAATTACCAAATGCCATTTCTATCTCTGATAGTCAGAATGTGTCTGTGATTATACCACTTAACTAACTGTTTCATAGTAAAATAGATTTCATTTGAAGGTTGTGGTAAGATACAATTATGGAATCATTGGCAATTATGTGCTGCTTTAAGGCACCTGTGAACAAAAAAGAATAAATGAGATTAGACATTCAAATCTTTTCAAGCAGTGGATAATTTTCCCATTATCCAGGGTTTCTTTTTAAAGACGTCTCTACTCAATAACCCATTTTTCTAAATGTTTATAGCCACAGATAGAACAAAGAAAAATCATTTGTATCTTATTTATACAAGAATTTTGTCCCTAAAGATATTTATGAGAAAATGAGGTAAATAAGAGTAGTCAACATACACCAAAACACTGTATGATATATAGTTAAGATTCCATATTACAAAACACATTGTTTACAGTACTATGTTGAAGTTTCCAGGTCAACATAAAATAACATCTCAACCAACATAACCATGTGTTTATGGGGCAAAATACCAATGAACAAAACTTTATGAAATCTACTGAGCTATTCAGTACATTTAAGGTACACAAAAACAATCATTTGTTCCAACATTGTTAAGTGTCTGGTAGTGGAAGCATTTAACGAGAAAGTTAATGAAGGGGACCTACAATGTCTGATAAGTCATTTATGAAGAGAAAATGCATTAACAGCTGGGTGATGGCAACATAGGAGCTGTGCAGAATTTAAATCAACACACGTGACAGCACATCTGAAAAAGGAAATACAGTATCATAAAATTCCATGTGTCAGAAAGCATGTAGCTCAGACTTAGGCCTGTCTATGGTAAGACAAGCAAAATTCCAACATAAGGGTTTACTGTTAAGGCAAGGTTAACACAACACAAACCATGATACATAGACATTATTTATGGTCTACAGTGAAGAGGACACGATGGAGTCTAAATTATGAGGGCAAACAAATCAAAATTATTATAGAAACCGTGTGCTTATTTTTAACTTAAGTTTATTCTTAAATTATGTGGTGATCAGGTGGAGGGCAAAGGACAGCGAAACAATAGGTGTTTTCATTCTGTGCCCTTCTCCAAAGTTCTATAACCTGGTAGAAATAGAAACAAGGATTGCTACTTCAGACCCTCACTTTCCCCAAGTTCTCTATCATAATATATGAACCCCGAAATGTGTAATTGTTGTTATTTTTAAGACTGCATGTTTCTTCTGTAGGGATTTTTTATTTATAGCAAACTAAGATTTTTTATTTCTATGTTAAGAATTTCCTTGTAAGATTTGTATTTGGTAACAATGAAAGATTCTGCCTTGTCTGTAGAAAAGATTTCCATAATATTCTACAACTGATTTTAAAGATGGAACAGCCCAGTAAACAATGGGCAATATATTTGTTTATCTGGCATTCAATAAGACATGAATATCCTTACATGAATAAATCACTGCAAGTATTCTTTACAAGAAATCTATCACCAAATATGGGCCCCTCTCAATATATTCTAGTGGTATCTTGAAAAAATATTAACAACATTGAAGTTTGAAGTTATGCTCCTGGAAAACACAGATAAATTCCACCTCCACACCTCCCGACCACCATCAAATTTTCGTATTCTAGGAAATGACTTACCATAAAGAAACGCCCTTCTCCATGTGACTTGGATAAGACTAGCAGATGACTCCCTTGGCTACCTATGACAAGGGCAGAAGCATCCTCCAAATTCCCATTCTGTGTGTCGTATATGATGAGCCGAACTGTTTCTCCAAACTGATCAATTTGTACAAATTACCCACTAACTTGACTTGATCAAATTTTAGTCAGGCTTCCTCCCTCCTCTGAGAAATCTGAAGTTTGGCCAACCTTCGGCACAAGCCAGCATCAAAGCGTGAACAGCCAGCCCGTCTTTAACAGTCCTTCTGAAAAATAGGCTGAGCATAAGAAAAAACATTGCCTGATAACCTGTCTATTCAAGTTACCTGTTTGTTCTACTCCCTTACACCGAGTTTCCTCTAGCCTTGTTTACTCCTTATTTTTAAAAAGACCTCCATAGGGGGAGGGGGGAGGGATAGCATTAGGAGATATACCTAATACTAAATGACGAGTTAATGGGTGCAGCACACCAGCATGGCACGTGTATACATATGTAACTAACCGGCACATTGTGCACACGTACCCTAAAACTTAAAGTATGATAATTAAAAAAAAAAGACCTTTATGTTTGACCTTATAGAGGCTCAAGGTTCGCAAATCTTTTACCCAATTGCAATGGTCCTACCCCCCTTATGCAGCAGTCTTTTCCAATAAAGTCTCTTCTTAACCAAATACGGATTTGTTTTTTATTTGGCAATAGTTAGACATCTCACTGAGTACCCTCCCACCCTCAGGGATGACTATTACAGACATCTGCTGAAAAGCAGAACATTCAGTCAACCTTGTGATATTCTGTGTTCCATCATTCTGGCAAGCTACAGTATTTCTCCTTCAACAGTCTATCAAAAAATAAAATGGTTCTTCTGTCAGGTTCTTGTAAAGGGATACAGCCTATAATTAAATACTTGGCTCAGCTCACATATGTATGGCAGAATTTCCAATAATGGTAAGATTGTTGCTGGTAAAGAAACTAAATGATACCACACAAAACGAGGAGAGAAATATTCAGGCATCCAGATGAGAAATGTATACTTGGTTGTATGCTTGTTGTTCATGTTTTTTTTTTCTATGTAATAAAAATTCCAATATTTCTGCTTTAAAACAGTTTAATTATCTTACAAAGAAATAGTCCTATGAAGAAATGGACTGCCTTAACAAAAATATTGTGATGACTGGAATGATTTAATTTTTGCTACTCTAAGTAATTCATACATGGAAAAAATAACAATTGCTCGTAACTATTAATTACTTTATTGTCACAGTGTTCATCAAGCTTACAAAATCGTTTTACTATTCCCGGAATACTGCTCAATGATTTCTCCAGAATTGGTGATTAAAGCATTAGGCCAGAATTGTGGAAATGAAACCTACAGTGGAAAAACAGTAGTTTACATTTTTTTGTTTTCATCTTCAGGGTATATTACTGCACTTCAGACAGAAAAAAAATAGCTGTGGCCCATAACCAATAAATAAAGATAAACCATTGTAGAGTTAAGGGAAATCTATCAGTTGTCCTAGAAGAAACTACCCAACAACTCCACATTTTTCTTGTTTGACATAGCTAACAAGGTAAGTATCTAGGAGAAAAACAGTTTTTTAGTGACCACTAAATGTTTACAGTTTCTTAGCATAGTTAGGAACAAACAGGGAAAGGACGTGGCGGTGCTATATGCATCAGAAGGGCCAATGAACAAAGTAAATTAATGGTGAACCTATACTTCAAGTTTCTGTTCTGACATGAAATGACCTTGTAAGCCATCACTCCTTATATCAAGAAAATGCTGGACAAACAGAAAATTAACAACCTTTTAAATAATATGTAATTATTATAATATAATTTTAATATTAAATATTAATAATATTTTAAAACTTTTCCAACAACAGGAAGCGAATTTCTCCTCACTATACCAGTATAAACTTCCCAAACCGAGATGCAAAGAGAAAAAAAAGAATAAAAAAAAACAGAACAGAACTTCTAAAAACTGTGGGAGTATCCAAAGGGTTTAGTAATATATACCAGTAGAAAAAAGAAAGGAAGAACTGGGTTAAAAAAAAAAAAAAAATTTGAAGTCAAAGATCTAACCACCTTTGCAAAATCCTAGCCATTTCATTGATGGATTCATTTATTTCTTTATCAATTCATTTTTTTAAAAAAAAGATCTGTGTGGTACTACTGTATAGACACTAATGGTACAAGACTGAGACATTGCTTTGAAGAACAATGTTAAAACAAAACAATACAAGAAGTGAATAAAGTAACTGCAGAGTATAAATTATGTTCTGTGAAGGAAATAAGCAGGACACTAAAATACAGTAGTCCTATCTTTTCTGCAATTTTGTTTTCTGAGGTTTCAGTGGTGCAAAAATAGTCAATGGAAAATTGCAGAAATAAACGGTTCCTAAGTTTTAAAATGCACACCGTTCTGAACAGCATGATGAAATCTTGCACCCTCCTGGGTCAGTACTGCCCAGGATGTGAATCTTCCCATTGTCTAGTGTATACATGTTGTAGACCCTGCGGCCCATTAGTCACTTAGTAGCCATTTCAGGTATCAGATAGAAAAATTATAGTGTGTATAAGGTTCTGTACTATGTGCAGTTGCAGGCATCTGCTGGGAATCTTGAAGATTATCCATTTTGGATAAGGGGACTACTGTAGAGAGCAAAGTTTTGGGTAAATATTTCATTTGGGGTGATTAGGAAAGGTCACTCTAAAGATATGACATTCAAACTGACACTTAAAGATGAGACAGAGCTAGCTGAATGGAGCATGGAAGAATAGAATGCGATCATTCCACGGGTTCATTAGTCTCAATTATGCAAGTTGTTTCTTCACAGAGTATGAGCCAAATTCCTATATTACAGTGGTTTCTATACTTTTGTGTCATTTGTCTTTTTGAGAAATGCCAACTCAGGTGTCAAATCTTCCCTGGATCTGCTCAGTCAGAATTCAGCTAACCCTTTGTTACGTTTCCAAAACATTTTGCCTGTGTTTCTGTTGTACTACCTACATTAGCCTTCAATTGATAGTCATTTGAGTCTCCTTCACTAGACTTTCAACATTTTGTCATCTTCCTTTTTTTCAATCCCCCATGGAAACAATAGTGCATTGTAATGGAGTAAGTGTTTGCCAAATGAATGTTCACATGTGCATGTGGACAAATGAAAAAATAAACTAGATATAAACTAATGAAAATAATAAATGCCTCTGTAAAAGCTTTGTTTCTCTATTTTTCGGTAATTCTTGTTGGAATTCCCTAAGTCCTTAGGTTATTATGTTTCTAGTCAATGAGATGTTTCTTTTAATTAATTAGTAACTCAAAAGTATCTTACTTTTTATGTCTTTGGTATAGGTAAATATTTTAACAAGTCTCTTTCATATTTTTATTTTGGAAAAAAAGTAGGGAGGGTTGATTATTTTCAGGATCATGTTTTAAAATAATTACTCTAGCCTTGCTCCTGCTTAAAGGTATTTCTTCTGAAAAAGATTTCAATCAATTGTCTATGTACACTATCTTGTCTATAAATACTATAAATGGAACTAAAGTGGTCTATTTAAACTAATTATAACCTGTAAAGCAAGAATGAAAGGTTATTACTTTAAGTTAATTCAGAGACTGAAAATTTCACAATTAACAATTGACATTTTGTAATTGCTGAGTTTGATATGTGCGTTAAGTCACTATATTCCCTTTATAACAACTTTAATTCTATCTCAAGGAGACTATATGTAGAATGGGTTAAGTCTGTCTTATTTAGTCTGTTTTAACCTCCTACCTTGATCGTCAGTCAGTCAAGGGGGGGAGGGGCTTTATCAGGTAATTATGTGATGTAAATAAGGTTTTATTGGCCATTAAAATGAGACTACCAACTCCTTTTACTTAGTCTCTGAATAACAAACAGCATGTAATAATTTGCTAGGGATATGACGCTGGGCATCATTGAACACAAATATACTCAACAGATGATGTGCCATATGGTTTTGCCTTCTTCTACAATGAATAATTTACACATGACTCATCAAAAGTCACAGTAGAAGTTCATAATCACCCAATACTCACTAAGTAAGTAATATGCAACGTTATTAGGTTGCTTTTCAGCAGCCATCTTCAAAAACAATAGGAAGACACATGCTCATTATTTTTCATGTGTTATATTAGCTATATCATGTTCAGGCCACATAACTGTGTTTTTTTTAAAGAATATGTCCACTTCTAATAAATTATGTGTAAATGTTGGTTGTTACAGTTTAATTAGGCAGAGCTCTATTACTGCTCTGCCTAATAAAGTCTTAAGTACCATTTACAAATATTCATTAAAAGTTGGAATAAAATCTCCTTTTGAATGAACGGCCATTGAAAGGGCTGGAGCAGTAATGGAAATAAAGCAAAAACACCACTTGGTATTCTGCATTAATTGAAAATCAAGTGATAAAAGCAATCATATATGTATTAGAGTGCCCTTAAAAATTGTTTCAAAATGAAAACATGAATGTGGTGGCATGGGCCTGTAGTCCCAGATATGTTGGAGGCTGAGGCAAAGGGATTGCTTGAGCCCAGAAGTTCAAGGGTGCAGTGAGCTGTGATTGCACTACTGCACTCTAGCCTGGGTGACAGAGAGAGACCCTGTCTCCAAATATATATATACACACATATAATTGACTTGATATAATTTATAAAACTCATGAGAAAAACAATAGCCCATTTATGTACACATATTTATAATCTTTCAGTTGTTCTTCTTCCTTCCTGATGCTCCAAGATTATTTCTTTTATCTCTTTAATTGTTTGACAAACTTCCTTTAGCCTTTAAGAGTAGGTATGCTACAAATTCTTTCAGTTTCCTTTAATCTGATAAAGTTTCTAATTTCCCCTTCATTTCTGAAGAATAGTTTTGCTAGATATAGAATCTGATGTTAACAATTTCTTTCTTTGATCACTTCCAAATTGTTGTGACACTATTTTTTCTCCTAGAAAATCTGTTTTATGCATCATTCTCTCCGTATATGTTTTAATAAGTGGTGATGCTCCCATTAACGGAATTCATTATTAACCTAATTTTCTAATGGAGGAAGAGGAAAAATAATTATTGCTTTCTGTGGAACAAATATTCCTCTATCAACTTATGACCAAATAATAGCAATATAAGAAATCCAGAAACAGTAAAGATTTGGGGTTTATATTTCATGGATGGTGATGCTGTTCCAACCTTGTAAAGTAAAACTGTCTGCTTTCCAAATTCCAAAAATTAAAATACTATCCTTCTCATCATACTAACCACTGTCTTTTGTTTTTTGTTTGTTAGAAAAAGGAATGATTAAAGAGTTATCAATTATGGATATACCATTTTGATTTTGGAGATTTTCACACACAGAAATTATATCAATTGGCCAGACACTTATTTTATAGAACAGTTTAAATGCTACACATTAGCCAAATCAACTTATTCCACCCACCCTGTTGGAGTGGGTAAAACCCATACCCATAAAACAACTTCGCTTCGCAGAATGTGTCTATCAACGATAAGTAGCTTAAATAGCTCTCACAAATAAAGTGTCTGGTTTGGCTTTTAAAATGTGAAAGTCATACATTTGAAAAGTAAGTACAGTTGAAATTGTAAATTAATTATAATTTGAACCTAATGAACCACGCAAGAAGCAAGAGCTATTAAACCAATATGCTTTGAATTGGTTCAAGTACTGATATTTCTGAGCATATTTAGTATATACACATGTATATATCTGGATATCATGACAAAAGAAAAAAAAATTTTCCGCAAAAAGAAAAATATTAAACAAATCAAAGTTTAACATGTGCCAGTTGACCATGTGTGAAAATGCAAAGCAGGTATTAAAACTGATATGTTCAATATTTAAAACCAGTTTGTAATTGAGAGAACATTTAAATCCTTGATTAAAAAACACAAATGATAAAAATTAGTGGAATTTCTATAGGCCAACAGTGGACAATCTGAAAAAGAAATAAAAAAGTAATCCCATTTACAATTGCCATGAATACAAGTAAATACCTAGGAATTAACCAAAGAAGTAAAACCTCTCTACAATGAAAGCTATAAAACACTGATGAAAGAAATTGAAGAGGACACCAAAAGATGACAAGATATTTCATGTTCATGGATTGGAATAATCAATATTGTTAAAATGTCCATACTAACCAAACCAATCTACAGATTCAATGCAATCCCTATCAGAATACCAATGACATTCCTCAAAAAATAGAAAAAAAAATCTAAAATTTATATGGCACCACAAAAGACTCAGAATAGCCAAAGCTTTCCTGAGCAAAAATAACAAAGCTTGAGGAATCACATCGCCACACTTCAAAGTATGCTACAGAGCTATGTTTACAAAAACAGCATAGCACTGGCATAAAAACAGACATGTAGACCAAGGGAACAGAATAGAGAACCCAGAGACAAATCCACATACTACAGTGAACTCATTTTTCACAAAGGTGCCAAGAACATACACCTAGGAAAAGACAGTCTCTTCACTAAATGGTGCTGGTAAAACTGGATATCCATATGCAGAAGAATGAAACTAGACCCTTATCTCTTGACAAACAGAAAAAACACAGAAAAATGAATGAAAGATAAATCTATGACCTCAATCTATGAAACTACTACAAGAAAATATTGGGGAAACTCTCCAGGACTTGATCTGGGCAAAGTTTCTTGAGTAATATCCCACAAACACAGGCAACCAAAGCACAAATGACAAATGGGATCACATCAAGTGAAAAAACTTCTACACAGAAACAAAAATGAAAACAACAACAAGAAAAAACCCACCAACAATGTGAAGAGACAACCCACAGAATGGGAGAAAATATTTGCAAACTACCCATCTAACAAGGGATTAATAACCAGAATATATAAGGAGCTTAAAAAACTCTATAGAAAAAGAGTCTAATAATTAAATTGAAAAATGGGCAAAAGATCTGAATAGAAATGTCTCAAAAGAAGACATACATATGGCAAAAGGTGCTCAACATCATTGATCATCAGAGAAATGCAAATGAAAACTACAATGAGATATCACCTCACCCCAGTTAAAATGTCTTATATCCAAAAGACAGGCAATAAAAAATGCTGGTAGGATATGGAGAAAAGGAAACCCTTGTACACTCTTGCTGGAATGTGAATCAATACAACCACAGTGGAGAACAGTTTGGAGGTTACTCAAAAAACTAAATGTGGAGCTATCATATGATCCAGCAATCCCACTGCTGGGTATATACCCCAAAGAAAGTAAATCAGTATATCAAAGATATCTGCACTCCTATATTTGTTGCAGCACTGTTTACAATAGCTAAGATTTGGAAGCAACATATGTGTCCATCAATTGATGAATGGATAAAGTAATAGTGGTACATATACACAATGGAGTATCATTCAGCCATAACAAAGAATGAGATCTTGTCATTTGCAACAACATCTATGGAACTGGAGATCATTATGTTAAGTGAAATAAGCCAGGCACAGAAAGACAAACATCGCAAATTCTCATTTATTTGTGGGATATAAAAATCAAAACAATTGAAATCATGGAGACAGACAGTAAAAGGATGATTACCAGGGACTGGGAAGGGTAGTAGGGATTGGTGGTGGAGGGAAGTGGCGATGGTTAATGGGTACAAAAAATAGAAAGAATGAATAATGCCTTGTATTAGATAGAACAACAGAGTGTCCATAGTAAAAATAATCTAATTATACATTTTAAAAATAAAGAGCATAATTGGTTTGTTTGTAATACAAAGGATAAATGTTTGAGGTGACGGATATCCCATATACTTTGATGTGAATATTTCATGTTGCATGCCTGTATCAAAATATCTCATGTATCCCATAAATATGCACACCTACTATGTATCCACAAAAAAATTTAAAATAAAAAAACATAAATGAAGTGAAAGCTTTAAACTAGTATACACATTTCACACCTATATTTCAAGCTTGGAAATGCAAATTTGCAAGCAGCAATACAAAAGTATTCATGAAGAATGCATAATTTCTGGTATTTATAAAAACATACCTACCAATACATTTTTAAATACAAAACTGACTACCATATTTGTTAATTTTATGTAGTGAGAGAAGTTCATTTTTTTTTTTTTTTAAGACGGAGTCTCGCTCTGTCGCCCAGGCTGGAGTGCAGTGGCGCAATCTTGGCTGACTGCAAGCTCCGCCTCCCGGGTTCACGCCATTCTCCTGCCTCAGCCTGCCGAGTAGCTGGGACTACAGGCACCCGCCACCACGCCCGGCTAATTTTTTGTATTTTTAGTACAGACGGAATTTCACCGCGTTAACCAAGATGGTCTCAATCTCCTGACCTCGTAATCTGCCCGCCTTGGTCTCCCAAAGTGCTGGGATCACAGGCGTGAGCCACCGCGCCGGCCGAGAAGTTCATTTTTAAAACAGATACAATTCAGTCTTTAAGTGTGAATTGTGTGAATGACAGCCTTTTTAAAACATGATTTCTTCATTGTTTCGAATCCTTACGCATGCAAAGGCATTGAACAGGAAATCCCACAAAGGAACCATGGTTGTTTTATGGCATTCAGTTAAGCCAGAGCTGGAAATGCCTCTGGGTCATCCATATCAGGAACAGAAGCACCTGACTTGTCAGTCCTGCTGCTGAGGTTCTGAGGTCCACCACACATTCACCTTGTCTTCCCCTCCCACCAAGTCCTCCAGGGCCGAGGTCTCCAAAATTGATCTCCCGCTGAGACATTTTATCATTTGCTGGCTTTCAGAAACGATGGTCCTTAATGACAAGTTCAGCATGAATCTCTTTACTCTTTGATTTATGAAGCGCACATCTCTTCTTCCAGTGCCCATCAATCAGTACCTTTGTTTTGTTTTTGGATATTAAATTCTACTTTTGGCCAGTCCTTATTTTGAATAGCATTCCACTTATCCAAAGTCATCTCTTTTGGACCCTCTTTTTTACCTCTTAAACTTCCTTCTCCTTATTTTCAGTGTCTGCCACTGGAAGTTCTTCACCTTCAGGTGTTTCCTAGGTCATATTTGATTAATCCAAGTCAGTTAACTTATCATTCACAGTTCCCCAGTTGTAAAATCCACTACCTCCATGTTTGTCCTTGTGCTTCAGGCTAGATCTATGCCTTCCAGCATGCCTACCAGCATGCCTATCAAATTCACATTTACCATAAAAATAAAATCCATACCCTTGGCCCATTTCACTTTGACAGCCCTCTCTACTTCTTCCAAGGCCACCACAGCCTCGAATGGGTTGGTCAATGATAGGTCTATCAGATAAAATTTTCCTCTTTCACCCTTTTCAAGTGGTTTTTCAAATCTTCCTTCATGAGGTGGTTGCCCTTCCCCGTCTTATCTCAATTATTTTCCCTTCACCTTGCAGTTGTTGATTGGGTCTTCTTCCAATTCACCTTATTCCTTCTTTCTTAACCTCCATGGGCACTATATGTCCTCTTGCCAACCATGCCAACTTTTGGGGCAAGTGGGTTCTTGCTGTCTTTCTGAGACTCTTTATACAACTGTTTGTCCGTGGCATTGGAGTTGGTCTGGGCCATGGCCTGAGATGAGCTTTTGGCCCCAGCTCCCCCAGTGACACCCCCGTTGGCTTATTTTCTCTAGTTCTCAGCTGCCTTCAGCACCTTGAATGGGTCCAATTCGTCTTCAAAGAACTGGTTAAATGGGCTGATGACCATGCAGGTGAAGCATTCCTGTAAATGGCCAGGCATAATGGTGGCTCAGAGGCATGTTCCTCAATGGATTGCAGCTGGCTGTGCAGAAGCAAGATCACCTTCTTCAGTTCTTCCCACAAGATCTTATGACACTTTAGATTTTGGCTTCATAATTTATGGTGAGAAATCCACTATCATTAGGATATTGGTATTCTCCTAACAGCAATGCATCATTTTTCTCTAGCTGCTTTCCGTATTTAATATTGTCTTTAGTTTTCAGAAATTTAATTATGATATGTGAATTTCTTTGAGTTTATCTAATTAAAGTACATTCATATTATTGAATCTCCGAATTACTGTTTTGCACCAAGTTGGGATGTTTTAAACTATTATTTCCCTATATAGTCTTTCAACCCTTCTCTCTTGTTGGGCTACAAAGATGCAAATCATTATATATTTTGGCTCTCTAAAAAAAAAAAAATCTGTTTCCTCTCTTGTTCAGAGTGGGTGAATGCTGTTGATCTATCCTAAAGTTCAGTGACTTCTTTCTCTTAGAGTTCATTCAAGCTTTTTTTTCTGTTAATGTATTTTTCTAAAATTTCCATTTTTTATAACTCATTTCATTTCAAAATATTCTATTTTCCATTTGTTTCAGGAGACTTTGTAATGCACTGCTGAAATATTTTTATGATGTGTGCTTTGAAATCCTTGTTAGATAATTCGACGATTAACAACATCTGATTTGTCTCAATGTTGGCATCAGTTGATTGTTTCCTCTCATTTAAGTTGTGATTTTCTTTATTCTTAGTGTGACCAGTGATTTTCAACTGTATCCTGAATATTTCTTCTATTATTCCAGCAGATTCTGGGTCTATTTGTATGTTTAATTTCATCAGATCTTCATTCTGTTTATAGTCAGCATGCAGATTCTGGTCTACTTTTCTGGACTGTGGTTTCTATGACAGTATATTTTCAGAGGCTTTGTTGTGTTATTTTGTTTTTTTCAGTTTATGTGATACTTATCTCCTACTTGTCCATGACAGCAATGGCTATAGTTGCAGAAGGGATTTTCCTTGGCCAGTGTCTTTCCATGGGAAAAGGGAGTCCCAGGTACCCTGAGATGAAGAGGTTTCCTTAACAATATTACTGGTTCCTAAGAATTCCTACAAAGGCCTTCCATTTGCCCCTGTGTCTCTGGGTGGAAGAGGGTATTTTCAGGCCCATTGAGAAAAAGAGACTTTCTGAGAATGACTATCCACTGTGGCTGGGCTCTTCCTGCCCATAGTACCTGTCTGACACTTCGTATCCCAGCAGGGGAAGAGACTGTGAGGCCTGTGGGGGAGAGGAGGGTTCTCTGGCTTGGTATTTGTTTTGGCAGGATCTGCCTTACCTGAGGGGGATTGAGAGAGCTTGTTGGGCCAGGACCCTTGTTGAGGTGGGATCTCCTTACCTGGGTCTCAGGATTTCCCTTGTGTCTCTGAGAGGGGTATGGAACTCTCAGACCCTGAAAAGAGAGACTTTCTGGGCCACACCATTCGTTTTTGCAAGATCCTTCTTGCCTCTGTCCCCTCAGTATCTCTCAGTGGGGGAAGGAAATTCTCAGTCCTGCAAGAAAGGAAAGCACTTTTTTTGGCTGCTTATTGTTCTTAGGGATCCTAATCAATCCTCCTTGTTGATGATGTCAGACTTCCTTAGTGTGTTGTTAGATGAAAGAATGGGCCTATCTGGACTGCCTTCTATGACTGGATTTGGCTTTTGAAAATGCTAGGTCTGAGTCACATTTTGTTCTGTGGGAGGAGGTCTGATGCTCTGCTGCTATGGTGTGTCACCAGTCCCAGGGTTTCAAACCAATACACCTACTTTATCACCTTTTCAGAGTTGTTTGATTGCTTCTTGTATCATGCCCAGGGTTTTATATTGTACTTAGTGGAGAGAAGAAAGATAAAATATATCCGTTCCATCTTGTCCAGACTGGAAATTGATATGTATTTTGATTTGCATTTTCTTTATTACTGGTGAGATCCTACTTATATCCTTCTTTCTTTTCCTCATTTCTACCTCTTTCTTTGTGAATTCTTTGCCCACTACATATTAGGTATTATGCCTGTGCACTTGTTTTTCTGTCATACACCTTTATCACATTTTGTAATTGATAGACTATTTCTTTGAATTTTCCATCGAGACTCTGGCTTGAAGAAATCACCTTTATTTTCCTTTTCAGGTTAATGCCAGCTCCTGGACTAGTTGTTGGCTATTTTATATACTCACTAAAAGAAGCAGGAGAGAGGTAGTCACTAAATATTTTGTCAATGAATAAAAGAAGGAATTGTAATTTAGGTAATTTTTAAAAACTGATATTTGCTCTTCCTTTAACAACTACAATGTGAAAACATTATATAACTGATTTGGCATGCTGTAATAGTGACAGGTGAAGCCAGCTGGACTTCCTGGGTAGAGTGGGGACTTGGAGAACTTTTCTGTCTTACAAAAGGATTGTAAAACGCACCAATCAGTGCTCTGTGTCTGGCTAGAGGGTTGTAAATGCACCAATCAGCACTCTGTAAAAACGCACCAATCAGCACTCTGTGTCTAGCTAAAGGATTGTAAATGCATCAATCAGCACTCTGTAAAATGGGCCAATCAGCACTCTGTAAAATGGACCAATCAGCAGGATGTGGACGGGGACAAATAAAGGAATAAAAGCAGGCCTCTCCAGCCAGCAGTGACAACCCACTCAGGTCCCTTTCCATGCTGTGAAAGCTTTGTTCTTTCGCTCTTCACAATAAATCTTGCTGCTGCTCACTGTTTGGGTCCCTGCCAACTTTAAGAGCTGTAACACTCACCGCGAAGGTCCACGGTTTCATTCTTGAAGTTGGCGAGACTGAGAACCCACTGAAAGGAACCAACTCCAGACACAATAGGGTGGTAAGAATTACTTTACCACAAATTATGGCAATAAGCTGTAAAGCAGAGTGAATAGGAGAAACCAATTATTTTTTCTGTATACTCTGACATCATCAGATGTGTGGTTTCTTTCTCTCACCAATAAATTATTTAATTCTTTGTAGACACCAGCTAAGTGTCCTACAATTTAACTAAATCTGACACTATCTATCTGGAGTTAGCATCAGGTTAAGGGTTGAGTTCCACAAGATTGCCCTCACTTTAGATGCCAATCACAAATCCAAGTGCCATCTGTGCTTATGACCAACCAGCTAGAAAACAGACATTTCCATGATTATCCTCAGGTTTGATCATTTGTTAGAATGGCTCACAGAACCCAAGAAAAGAATTAACTTAATAGATTACTTGTTTATTATAAAAAGATGCAGCTCAGAAACAGTCAGATGAAACAGAAACATAGGGCAAGGTATGGAGGAAGGGGCACAGAGCTTCTGTGCCCTACCCAGGCATGCTACCCTCCCGATAACTCCACGTGTTCACCAACCTGTTAAAGCCATTAACATAGTAATACAACTTATTCACATTATAAGCCAAGTTATTTAAGAGTTAAAATGCATCAACCATTACTGTGTCTATTAAACTGTTTCTTAGAGTCTGGTGAAATTATAATTTGGTCATAATGCCAAGTCACTAAAGACATTCAGCTTTCCTCTTATTTTGTTAAATATGACTGAAATGCATAAATATTCTCCTTCTCTCATTTATATATTATAGTTCCTATAGAAAAAATAATATTTCCTTTTGATAGCCTATGAAGAACTTGTTGAATAGTATTTTGTTATTGTGTAAGCTAATAGTGGCAGGGATGTTTTTCCAGATATTTCTACTGAAATAACTTTGTTTTTGTCAGACTAATCTTTTGATCTGAATTTCATTGTTTAAATATAAAATATAACCATGATAATATTTAAGCATGATGAAGGTGGAGAAGATGATGATGAAAGTGATAATGTTTACTAAGTTTATTTCTTGAACATTCCGGACATTATATACAATATGTAAATACATGTTTATCATGTTTAAGAAGGATATTTACATAAATTATCCTAAAGATATTCATTATCCATTTTAGCAAGCCTGAAATTAAGTTGACTACTGACTTTTAAATTCTGTACTAATGTTAATTTAGACAAAAATGTTTGAATACATAAGCACTTATAAAATTTTCAGAAGCACATATATTTCAGATTCCATATTTCACAAATTAACAACATAATACCTGCTATGTAAAAACCAGTAGATTTTCTTCTTCACATATAAGAAGAATAAGAAATATTTTAATATGGTTGCTATCAACATTTTATTCCATTTTTTTTTTTTAGGAAAGCAGCTAAAATCAGCTAGAAAATCCTTTTTAAAAAAATGATGAAAATCCTTAAAAGAGCAAAACAATAAAGACATGTTGGGGGAACTATGTCAAATATTAAATTTTATAAATTTATAATGTCTACATCATGTATTTTCATAATAAATATTCCAAAAGTTTTACTACTAAAATATTTGCCAGGTAAAGGGTAAACACATTTAAATGGATTGTTATTTTATCAAGGTACACATATGAAAAATCTAAGAAGAAATTCTGGCTCAGACTATGGACTGAATGTTCATGTTCCCCAAAAATTTTATGTTGAAATTTTAACCCCTCATGTGATGATATCAGAAGGAGAGACCTTTGGTAGGTGATCAGATCAGGAAGTTGGGGCCATTGTAAAAAGACAGGAGTCAACTTCCTTTCTCTCTTTGTTCCCCACCATGTGAGGATATGACAATATGGCAATCTGCAAACCAGAAAGAGTGCCCTCTCCAGACACCAGATCTGCAAGTGCTTTGATGTTGTACTTTCCAGCCTCCAGAAATGCATGAAAAAATATTCTGTTATTTAAGTCACCCAATCTATGGTATTCTGTTAAGAGTGGGCTGAAGTAAGACAGCTCTCGTCTGTAAAATTATTCAGCGAGCAAACTGAATAATTAAAGAAGTAACAGTAATAATAATGACTTGTAGATTTTTTGAAAATAACTGTTTGAAAGTTTATGTAATAAGAAATAATAGTTTAATGTGAACAAATTTAATGTGACTAAATCAATACATGTTCAATATTAAATATAATCCCATGAAGTCTCTGGGATGTTGTTACTATAAATCAAGTTATTTGGGCTAAATATCTTTAAATGTTTTCTGATATTTCCTTTTCCCTTTCTCCATTTCAGCCCAAAAGTCATGATTGTTTTATATTTCTAAGAGAATTTATAGAAATATTATCCAGTCATCAAGCCCTCACGACTCTTTTTTAAAGTATCCCATTTCCCTTCCTTGTTATTACAGTAGCATTATTTTAAGTCAGACATCTCATCATTACATTTTCTTCCCAGCTTCCCAGCTATTCTTCCTGTGTCCTAACTTCTTTCCACTCTATCTCCTATAATTCATCCTGTAAAACACCAGTATGTAATAAAAGTTTATTATGCCACAACCACTAAAATCCTTCCTTTGCTTCTTGTTGCTTATTAGAAAATATGTAAACTCTCTACTCTCATATTCTACATCTTCCTTTTTGTATCCCAACTTACCCTCTACTATAATCTTTCCCCTCCCTTCATTGCTCAAATATTTTCATAATTCCTTGTCTACAACTGAGAACTGAGCTGAAAAAAAAGACAAAAGGGTGATAAAGAAGGAACACAGGTTTTGAAGTTAGGAAGACTTGGATACTTCTACTTACTACCTACTTAGATTTGGGGTAAATTACCACATCTTTCAGAGTCTCACCTTTCTCATCTATAAAATTGAGATGATACTTACCTTTCCACGAAGTTGTGAAAGTTATATGAAATAATATGAGTAAATGTGCCTAGTACAGTGCTTGACATATAATAACCACCTAATAAATGTCAGAGGCTGCTGGTGTTATTGTTATCAGCATTAGTATTAATAAAAGTGGCTTTAAGTCTGGGGGTGTGGCTCACACCTGTAATCCCAGCACCTAGGGAGGCTGAAGTGAGAGGATCACCAGAGTCCAGGAGTTCAAGAGCAGCCTGGGCAACACAGTCAGGCCCCGTCTCTACAAAAATAAAAAAAAACATATACATTAACTGGGCATGGTGGTGCATGCCTGTTGTCCCAGCTACTTGGGAGGCTGAGAAGGGAGGATTGCTTGGGCTGATGAAGTAAAAGTTGCAGTGAGCTATGATTGTGTCACTGCATTCCAGCCTGGGTGACAGGGAGAGACCCTGTCTCAAAACAAAGAGGCTTTAATAAGCAGGATTTCAGCTTAAAAAGATGCTAGAATTTTTAGAACCTAGGTACTATAACCAGGGCTCTTGATAATAGAGAAAGCAGAGAAAGATTAAAGACATTAACAGAAAGACTAGAATTGTGAATTTTGGGTGTGAATTCCATATTTCTCTGATATCTACTTCAAATGCAATCTGGTATGCTTTGAGGCTTGGGCTCTGAATCTAACAACCATGCTGCACACTCTGATTCTTTTCTTATTTAAAAGAAGTGTTCCTTTCTAAATGATTGCAACAAAAACCAAGGCATATAGTTGACTACATATTGACAGTATCGCGAATAAATGGCTTTTACTGTCATGTTAGTAGCCAGTCTTTACCAAGTCAACTGCACTGAACCTCCTTCAGGTACTTGCATGACTCACTCTCACTGGATTGTAGCGTTTGCTCCCTAAACATCTTATTTAAAGTAATCCCTTATCTTGTTTTATTTTATTGATAGCATTTATGACTATCTGAAATGACCACAAATTTTCTGCCACTTTATAATTGTTTGTGTCCCCTCAATCATTCCAATTTCTTATTCTTTACACTTGATGATATGTTTCATAATGTAACATGTATCTTATTTTAACTCATTAATTTTGTTGTTATACAAACATGTAATGAAATACTTTTTTTGACTTTAATCTTTCAATCCACCTAGTTTTCTTCTACAGTGAGTATTTAAGTTAGGTAAAATGCTATGCTTAATTTTAAATAAATATTATTGCTTCAGTAATTAATTGATTAAATGAATGATTTACAGTAGAATTTTCACATTCTCCTCTTCTTAAATCTTCCCCCTTCCACTATATTATACACATAATATCCACTCCCCCTTCTTTTCCTATATCAGGGAAAATGAATGAGGAAGCTAGATTTCTACATGTTTTAGTTATATTTCTTTTCACATATTGGAATACATATTTCCCTTTAATAAAAAAGTAAGGTTTTAAAATCAAATGTTTGCTGACTGCGTTTGCACTGTTTTTTTTTTTTTTTAACTCTGAAAAGCCTATACTAAAGCATCAGTTTTTATTATTCTTGGTTCTTCTACTTTACAAACAGATTAAAAGATATTTATAAAACAATGTTTTAGAAAAATACATGGTGCCCTATACTAGCTTTCACTGGGATGCTCGGTATGGTGTCTTCAAGTAGCTTGGAGTAATCATTATAGGAAGCAGTATTAAGACTCTGTACAAAGAGTGTCTGTAATGTGTATTTTTTTCTCATTTGGAAAAAGTATGTTTTCCTCTCTGACTGTGTTGGCCATAGTTTCAGAGACCACACTATTGTTTAAGTTCAGTAATGGAAAATGGTTGTCAGTGACGATCAAATGTGAAGGAATCTGACCCTCAGGCACTCCATAATCCTAGTTTCTGGCTACTACCAGTCTATTTTCAAACATCCTCTATTTTCAACCAACCTTAGGGGTGGCATCTTTCTCTTCCTCCAGTTGACTACCATCACAGATACAAGATGGGGAACGGCAACTAGACCATATGGGTAACAAAGCAAATTGGAATCTGCAACTTTACCTTTTTAATGAAGAAATATTAAAACCAACAATACATGTAAAGTCCCAGAATATTATAAACTTCATAATTGTGTCTGTTTTGTTCTCTATTGTATCTCCAGCACCTGAAACAGCTCCTAGCATACAGTAGATTTGCTGTACACATCTGATGAATAAAATAATAAAAGAAACCACCAAAAGCACATGCAAAAAAACAAAAATAAAATAGTGGAACTACATCAAACTAAAAAGCTGCTGCACAGCAAAGGAAACAATCAAAAGAGTGAAAAGACAACCTTTAGAATGGGAGATAGTATTTGCATACCACATATCTGATAAAGATCTAATATTAAAAATATATAAGGAACTCCTATAACTCAATAGCAAAAAAAAAAAAAATGCGAATAGACATTTCTCAAAAAAGACATACAAATGGCCAATGGGTATATGAAAAGATGATCAACGTCACTAATTATCAGTGAAATGCAAATCAAAACCAAAATAAGATATCACCTCACAGCCATTAGAATGAACATTATTTAAAAGAAATACAGGCCAGGTGCAGTGGCTGACGCCTGTAATCCCAGCACTTTGGGAGGCTGAGGCAGGTGGATCATGAGATCAGAAGTTCGAGACCAGCCTGGCCAAGATGGTGAAACCCCGTCTCTACTAAAAATACAAAAATTAGCTGGGCGTGGTGGTGGGCACCTGTAATCTCAGCTACTTGGGAGGCTGAGGCAAAGAATTGCTTGAACCTGGGAGGCAGAGGTTTCAGTGAGCCGAGATCATGCCACTTCATTCCAGCCTGGGCGATAGAGCGAGACTCTGTCTCAAGAAAAGAAATACAAAAGATAATAAATGTTGGTCAAGATGTGAAGAAATTGGAATTGCTACATACTGTTGGTGGGAGTGTAAAATGGCGCAGTTGCTAGGAAAACAGTATGAAGGTTCCTCAACTACTTTATGATCCAGCAATCCCACTTTTGTTTTTGTTTTTGTTTTTGTTTTGAGATGGAGTTTTGCTCTTGTCACCCAGGCTGGAGTGCAATGGCGAGATCTCTGCTTACTGCAACTTTAGCCTCTTGGGTTCAAGCGATTCTCCTGCCTCAGCCTCCCAAGTAGCTGGGATTACAGGCCTGTGCCACCACACCCAGCTAATTTTTTTTTATGTTTAGCAGAGATGGGGTTTCACTATGTTGATCAGGCTGGTCTCCAACTCCTGGCCTCAGGTGACCCACCTGCCTCAGCCTCACAAAGAGCTGGATTAAAGGCGTGAGCCACCACACCTGGCCAGCAATCCCACTTTTGAGTAAATATTCAAAAGAATTTAGATCAGAATCCTGTAGAGACATTAGAACTCCTACGTTCATTGCAACACTATTTACAATGACCAATATGTGGAAAAAACCCAAATCAAATGTCCACCCATAGATGAGTGGATAAAAATAGTATGTGATATAAATAAACAGTAAAATTCTATTCAGCCTTAAAGAAGAAAATCCTGTTATACGTAACGACATGGATAAACCTGGAGGGCATTGGACTAACTGAAATAAGCCAGGCACAGAAGGACAAGTACTGCATGATTCTACTTACATAAGATATCTTAAGTAGTCAGATTCATTGAAACAGAGTGTAGAATGGTGTTTATCAGGGGCTGAAGGAGTAAGGGGAAATGGTGAGTTGCTGGTCAACATTTATATAGCTTCAGTTATGCAAAATGAATACGTTCCAGAGATACTCTGTATAACATTATGCTTATAGTTAAAAACACTGTATTGTACACTTGAAATTTTGTTAAGAGAGTCATTCTCATGTTGACTCTTTTTACCACAATAAAAAATAATTTTATACATTTAGAAAAATAGCCTATATTAGCTGCCCCTCAATTTTATTCATCCCTAGGCAAACCCTGGAGAGATAAGCAAGCAATCTCTAAGACTTTGTAAGTAAAAACTTAGAGAATTTGAAAACAGTTCAAAAAAGAGCCACATATCTGAGGAAAGAATTGTAAAAATAGAAAAATTAGGCAAGTTAAAAAATTTGCAATTATTCAGCATAGAGCTAAAAAGGGGAAGTAGCATAATATTGGGCTCATCATGAGCAAATGGGAAATGATCACCAAAACAGAGTGGAAAATTGTTCCTAATTCCAATGAAGACAGAAAAAGGGCAAAACACCCACACTGCAGTATGAAATCTAAATCTCTTAGCATTCTCTCTGAAAGGTACACATCTCTAGTGCTTTTGAAAATAGTCTTTTTTTTCCGGTCATTTATATTCCAAGTGTGGTCCTGAAGGGGAATGACTAGATGTTTTCTCAAGGAGAGTTAACTCTGTGTGTGGGGTGGAGGTGAGGGCTCCAGAAGGAGGGAGAGTTTATAAATTAGCAAGTTGTAATGTCTGTTGAAATAATTACATTCTGTATTGTTTGGTCAGACCCTAAACTTGGCTGTACTGCTTTACAAAAGAAAAGGCTTTTGCACAAGGCCCTCTTACTTTCTCACCAAAGTGAGTTTCTGTGCCTGATTTAAGAAAATGCCTTTTGAGAGATGTGATAATTGAATAATTTTGAGGCTGTCTAGAGTACACAGGGAAGTTGATTAAAGTCAGTAAAACATAGGCTCTCTGATTATGCTGCAAATCTTTCCAAGCCAGAAGAACCAGCATTGTTATGAAGTCTCCTTTGCTTAACAGTTTGCTTTATTTGCTTAATAATTACTTAAATAAATAACTGTATTTAAAACAATGAAATTTTAGACCAATATCCCTGAGGAACATCAATGCAAAAATCCTCAATAAAATACTGGCAAAACAAATCCAGCAGCACATCAAAAAGCTTATCCACTATGATCAAGTGGGCTTCATCCCTGGGATGCAAGGCTGGTTCAACATACACAAATCAATAAATGTAATCCAACATATAAACAGAACCAATGACAACAACCATACGATTATCTCAATAGATGCAGAAAAGGCCTTTGACAAAATTCAACAACGCTTCATGCTAAAAACACTCAAAAAATTAGGTATTGATGGGACGTATCTCAAAATAATAAGAACTATCTATGACAAACCCACAGCCAATATCATACTGAATGGGCAAAAACTGGAAGCATTCCCTTTGAAAACGGGCACAAGACAGGGATGTCCTCTCTCACCACTCCTATTCAACATAGTGTTGGAAGTTCTGGCCAGGGCAATGAGGCAGGAGAAGGAAATAAAGGGTATTCAATTAGGAAAAGAGGAAGTCAAATTGTTCCTGTTTGCAGACGACATGATTGTATATCTAGAAAACCCCATTGTCTCAGCCCAAAATCTCCTTCAGCTGATAAGCAACTTCAGCAAAGTCTCAGGATACAAAATCAATGTGCAAGAATCACAAGCATTCTTATACACCAATAACAGACAAACAAAGAGCCAAATCATGAGTGAACTCTCATTCCCAACTGCTTCAAAGAGAATAAAATACCTAGGAATCCAACTTCCAAGGGATGTGAAGGACCTCTTCAAGGAGAACTACAAAGCAATGCTCAATGAAATAAAAGAGGATACAAACAAATGGAAGAACATTCTATGCTCATGGGTAGGAAGAATCAATATCATGAAAATGGCCATACTGCCCAAGGTAATTTATAGATTCAATGCCATCCCCATCAAGCTACCAATGACTTTCTTCACAGAATTGGAACAAAACTACTTTAAAGTTCATATGGAACCAAAAAAAGAGCCCGCATTGCCAAGTCAATCCTAAGCCAAAAGAACAAAGCTGGAGGCATCATGCTACCTGATTTCAAACTATACTACAAGGCTACAGTAACCAAAACAGCATGGTACTGGGGTACCAAAACAGAGACATAGACCAATGAAACAGAACAGAGCCCTCATAAATAATGCCGCATATCTACAACCATCTGATCTTTGACAAACCTGACAAAAACAGGAAATGGGGAAAGGATTCCCTGTTTAATAAATGGTGCTGGGAAAACTGGCTAGCCATATGTAGAAAGCTGAAACTGGATCCCTTCCTTACACCTTATACAAAAATCAATTCAAGATGGATTAAAGACTTAAACGTTAGACCTAAAACCATAAAAATCCTAGAAGAAAACCTAGGCAATACCATTCAGGACATAGGCATGGGCAAGGACTTCATGTCTAAAACACCAAAAGCAATGGCAACAAAAGCCAAAATTGACAAATGGGATCTAATTAAACTAAAGTGCTTCTGCACTGCAAAAGAAACTACCATCAGAGTGAACAGACAACCTACAGAATGGGAGAAAATTTTTGCAATCTACTCATCTGACAAAGGGCTAATATCCAGAATCTACAATGAACTCAAACAAATTTACAAGAAAAAAACAACCCCATCAAACAGTGAGCGAAGGATATGAACAGACACTTCTCAAAAGAAGACATTTATGCAGCCAAAAGACACATGATAAAATGCTCATCATCACTGGCCATCAGAGAAATGCAAATCAAAACCACAATGAGATACCATCTCACACCAGTTAGAATGGCGATCATGAAAAAGTCAGGAAACAACAGGTGCTGGAGAGGATGTGGAGAAATAGGAACACTTTTACACTGTTGGTGGGACTGTAAACTAGTTCAACCATTGTGGAAGTCAGTGTGGCGATTCCTCAGGCATCTAGAACTAGAAATACCATTTGACCCAGCCATCCCATTACTGGGTATATACCCAAAAGATTATAAATCTTGCTGCTATAAAGATACATGTACACGTATGTTTACCGCGGCACTATTCACAATAGTAAAGACTTGGAACCAAGCCAAAAGTACAACAATGATAGACTGGATTAAGAAAATGTGGCACATATACACCATGGAATACTATGCAGCCATAAAAAATGATGAGTTCATGTCCTTTGTAGGTACATGGATGAAGCTGGAAACCATCATTCTCAGCAAACTATCGCAAGGACAAAAAACCAAACACCGCATGTTCTCACTCATAGGTGGGAATTGAGCAATGAGAACACATGGACACAGGAAGGGGAACATCACACACCAGGGCCTGTAGTGGGGTGTAGGGAGGGGGGAGAGATAGCATTTGGAGATATACCTAATGTTAAATGACGAGTAACTGGGTGCAGCACGCCAACATGGCACATGTATACATATGTAACAAACCTGCACATTGTGCACATGTACCCTAAAACTTAAAGTATAATTAAAAAAAAATGAAATATTTTCACTTTTTTACTCGTAAATATAGCATTTGAGTATTCTTCTAGTAACAAAACAAGTTTCACTTAATAAGACACTATTAGTAATCTTATTAATGGTTCTGGTTGTTTTCTAAACAGAGTAAACTATAGGGTGAGTTATTTACCTTACATTTGTAAATGAAGGTCCTTTGATGCAGATCTAGTTGGTTCTCCTCTGAGGTTCTGTCTGTAAGGTCAGTTACTTGAACAGGAAACTATCCTGAGAGAGGAAACCCAAGATATCTATATTTGTTATTTAAGTAATCTCTGACATTCTTGTGAGTTTTAGTTGATCTTCTATTTCATGGGAGTGAACCAAAAGGAAAAATATATTATCAATTTTAGAAAAATAAATTGGGGCTAGATAAAACACGTGCATATATATTTTGTCTACTTATTTCTCTAAACATGGTCAGGTAAAAAACCAAAAATGGGTAAGGATTCCAGAAAATCAAAGAAGATATTTGACAATGAATATTTCAATACTTGACAATTTCCACCCCACTGATACTTTTATTTATTTATTTTTATTATACTTAAGTTCTGGGATGCATGTGCAGAATGTGCAGGTTTGTTACATAGGTATAAATGTGCCATGGTGGTTTGCCGCATCCATCAACCCATCATCTACATTAGGTATTTCTCCTAATGCTATCCCTCCCCTAGACCCTACACCTCAACAGGCCCCAGTGTGTGATGTTCCTCTCCCTGTGTCCATGTGTTCTCTTTGTTCAACTCCTACTTATGAGTGAGAACATGTGATGTTTGGTTTTCTGTTCCTGTGTTAGTTTGCTGAATTTGATGCTATCCCCATCAAGCTACCATTTTCTTCACAGAATTAGAAAAAACTACTTTAAATTTTATATGGAACCAAAAGAGAGCCCGTATAGCCAAGAAAATCCTAAGCAAAAAGAACAAAGCTGGAGGCATCACACTACCTGACTTCAAACTATACTACAAGGCTACAGTAACCAAAACAGCATGGTACTGGTACCAAAACAGATATATAGACCAATGGAACAGAACAGAGGCCTCAGAAATAACACCACCCTTCTACAACCATCTGATCTTTGACAAGCCTGACAAAAACAAGCAATAGGGAAAGGATTCCCTATTTAATAAATGGTGTTGGGATATTTTCAAAATAAGAGGCTGGTCTAGGATTGCAAACAAAAATGTTCCCCAGAAAACTCTCATGACACTGTAACAATGGGAAATTTCTATAACAGGTATATTTTTAGATTTAGTCAAAATTTTAATTAGAAAAGCTATATATGCAGAAGGAGTTTCCTTCATAACATTAAAAAATGTATATTGCCAAATATATTGATTATTTTTAATTTAACTTTACAATTATAGAAATTTTATTGATGGTTTTTAAAAAATGCATTTGTTAATTCATCCCTTCATTCTGAACACTGTAGCAATCACTGTTCATTAATCTTAGCTTGCAGAATTACAATTATAATGAGAGCTATAGTAAAAAGAATGTCACACATTGTGTATTATAACTTCCTGGGCAACCAGGACAAGAGACAAACTAGGAGACACAGAAGTGAAGAACGAGCACTTTTCAGAAAGTATATTAAAAGTCCTTTGATTGAGAGCTTAACGACAGGACTGAAGTTAAGCCTTTGGCCTTCAGCATAGCTGTTATAACATAAACATTAACAATCTACAAATGTTCATTTACAAATTTACAAACCTAGCCCACTTGTTGCAATCATGATAGGAGTCAGTTTACTGATGAATAAAACCTATTATTGACTCTGTTGGCAGTGGAGCGTTCATTCTCACCATTCTCTGGTGGTTTTATTCAGAAAAGATTGTAATACTGGGCACATTTTTATGACTTATCACATGTTATTTACACAAGTAGTTTGGATCAAAGTGGTAGTTGACCTGGATCTAGAAGAGTTCATTCTCACTATGTTGCCCAGGATGGTCTGGAACTCCTGGGCTCAAGTGATCTTCTGGGCTCAAGCCTCCAGAGAAGCAGAAATTATAGGCTGTGTGCTTAATTGCTAAAAATTTTAATGACAATAACATGACTTGAATACAAAACTGGTAGAGAGAAAGGCACAGGAATCCCAAATCTGTCTCATCTCACTCCATTTCTGTGCCTTCTAATGTTATTTAAAACACTGAAATCTCTTTATTTTCACTCAGAAATACAAAAATTGAGGTAGTCCCATTGGTAGTGAAGACGACCTCAGCTCAAGTTCCTAGGGCCTAACAGAACTTTGGTCAAGCCTAAAACAAGCTAGATGTTTCATATCATTTTTCTTCACATAATTATTATCTGAGACACCAGACATGCCCACTCTAGGACATATTGGGTGCTGCATTGAGAAATTCATTTGTAGGCTGAATAATTTTTCTAATCTTAATTTTCCTCTCACAATATAAGAGAGTAAATGCTTCCTAACTTCTTTATATGCTTTAGAAAAAAGAATACCAAGTCAAGGCTAGGCGCAGTGGCTCACACCTGTAATCCCAGCAGTTTGGGAGGCCGAGGCGGGCAGATCACGAGGTCAGGAGATCGAGACCATCCTGGCTAACATGGTGAAACCCCGTCTCTACTAAAAATACAAAAAACTAGCCGGGCGCGGTGGCGGGCGCCTGTAGTCCCAGCTACCGGGGAGGCTGAGGCAGGAGAATGGAGTGAACACTGGAGGCGGAGCTTGCAGTGAGCCGAGATCGCACCACTGCACTCCAGCCTGGGCGACAGAGCAAGACTCCATCTCAAAAAAAAAAAAAAAGAAAAGAAAAAGAATACTAAGTCAATAAATAAATCCACTACTAGCTCTGAGATTCTTCCCTCCACCAAGCCCAGAAAAATTGCATTTAAATACAGAATTCGTTTCTGCAACTTTCACTCTGAAAAATCTTATTATTACTGAGGAAAAAGAAACAGTATTAGCTCTACGAAGAGGATTGCTGTGCTACATTTGCATAGTTCTTAACATGATAAGAAAAAAATGCCTATGATATATATTTTTGACAGTTTGACAGTTTCACTGTTCAGATTCGACATTCAACATTTAAAAGGCAAGTAATTGAAACTGCTATTACTCTGCTAAACAGAGTTCATGAGCTATTGTTATGGACTTTCATAGATGTTAGAGAGATGATATTTTCATAAGCCTCACTATCAGTCTGTTTAAAATGATAAGAAGAAGGTCGGGCATGGTGGCTCATGCCTGTAATCCAGCACTTTGGGAGGCTGAGGTGGGCGGATCGCTTGAGGTTAGGAGTTGGAGACCAGCCTGGCCAACATGGTGAAACCCCGTCTCTACTAAAAATACAAAAATTAGCTGGGCATGGTGGCGAGCGCCTGTAATCCCAGCTACTAGGGAGGCTGAGGCAGGAGAATTGCTTGAACTCGGGAGGTGGAGGTTGCAGTGAACCAAGATCCGGCCATTGCACTCCAGCCTGGGCAACAGAGTGAGACTCTGTCAAAAAATATATACATAAGAAAAATGTATTTGTCATTTCTCATTGTTAATGAATTACAATACTTCCTTAAAGTGCTTATAGTATACATATTAGCTTCCTACTTGTGTCATATATACCTGTTCTATATATCAATTAACCGTATAACAATGTCACTAACATTTACTATAAGAATACATAAGTGCTGGTTGGGCGTGGTGGCTCACGCCTGTAAGTCCAGCACTTTGGAGGCTGAGGGAAGATCACCTGAGGTTAGGAGTTCGAGACCAGCCCGGCCAACATAGTGAAATTCCATCACTGCTAAAAATACAAAAATTAGCAGGGCATGGTGGTGGGCACCTGTAATCCCAGATACTTGGGAGGCTGAGACAGGAGAGTCGCTTGAACCCAGGAGGTGGAGGTTGCAATGAGCAGAGATTGTGCCACTGCACTCCAGCCTGAGCGACAAGAACAAAACTCCTTCTCAAAATAAATAAATAAAATAAAACAAAGTAAAATAAAATAAGAATACATAAGTGCTTCATTTACACTGTGATGTTTCCTTAGCAACTTTCTTGTAAAATATATGAAAAATATTTCTGTATAATTTAAAAACAGGAGTTTACATGTATAAATTCTCTATATGTAGATATATTAAATACATAAATAATCTTCTTTCCTACATTTTACTTAGTCACTATTGTCAGAATGTTAAAATTGCATACTATTTTAAAAACATGACTTGGCTATCTTTTGCCATATTATTTTATTTAAAGATAGAATATTCTTAGGAAAATGGACCTTAGGTACTTAAATCAGAAGTTCAAAGACTAGCCAGGAGTAATTTTGGAGGACATGGCTTCTATACAACTCAAAGTATGTGTTCTTCGTTTCAGGAATAAATGTAAAATTTATTCTTGGGAAATGCTCCTTAAATGCTTGAATCAACTCCAATTTTTATATTTTAATCAATAGTATTATTAAATATTTTTCCCCTAGGCTCGACACCAAATATCATCAGATGTTTCCCCCCTAGACTAGACCTCTAAAAATATAATGAAAAAGTGGAAATGCTGTCAGAACAAAAGTTACATATAAATTATTCAGGTATTTTTTAAATTCCATATGGATTCTATACCACCTGTTATAATCAGAGAAACTTTCTATCCTCTACTTCCCTCCTTTAACAAGTTGTCAAATTCAATTTCCAATTAAATCAATTTTTGGAAAACAGTTGTTGCTTTAATTTTTTTGGTCATAATTATTGCAACAACTTTTTGATTGCTTTCATTACAGCAAATGTCATTTTTAAAACAATCAGTACAATAAAATGACTTGACTTTAGCCATGTTTGTGTCTATCTGCTTTAATTCACTATAAATGTAGTGTTTCAGACATTTTTAGAAAAAGGTATTACTTTTACAGATTATACTGAGAAGTATACACATTTTTTGCTACACATTTATTTTTAAGGAAAACAATTTGCACAGTTATATTTGGTATGAGATGAAAACTATATTTTTTAACTTAAACTATCTGTCTTTAGCTGACTAGTACATTGTTTCTAGAAAAGTAAACATGTATTTCTTCTTTTATTTTATTTAACATTTATTGTAGGTTCAGGGTTACATGTACAGTTTTGTTATATAGGTAAATTGCATGTCGTGGGGTTTTGGTGTACAGATTATTTTATCACTCAGGTAAATAAGTATAGTACGTGATAGGTAGTTTTTTGATCCTCACCCTCCTCCCACCACCCACCCTCAACTAGGCCCCAGTGTCTGTTGTTCCCTTCTTGTTGTCCATATGTTCTCAATATTTAGGTCCCACTTATAAGAAAGAACATGCATTATTTGTTTTTTCTCTTCCTTTGTTAGTTTGCTTTGGATAATGGCCTCAAACTCCATCCATGTTTCTGCGAAGAACATGATCTCATTCATTTTTACAGCTCCATAGTATTCCATGGTGTATATGTATCATATTTTCTTTATTCAGTCTACTGTTGATGGGCACTTAAGTTGATTCCATTTCCTTGCTATCGTGAATAGTCCTGCAATAAACATATGCATGCATTTGTCATAATGGTAGAACAATTTATATTCATTTGAGAATATAGCCAATAATGGGACTGCTGGGTCAATTTGGTTTCAAGTTCTTTGAGGAATCACCAAACTTTGCTTTCCACAAAGGCTGAACTAATTTACATTCCCAGCAGAAGTGCATAAGTGTTTCCTTCTCTGCAACTTTGTCAGCATCTATTATTTTTGACTCTTTAGTAATAGACATTGTCATTGGTATGAGATGATATATCACTGTAGTTTTGATTTCCATTTCTCTAATGATGAGCGATGTTGAGCATTTTTTCATATGCTTGTAGTTCACATTGTGCCTTCGTTTGAAAGGTGTCTGTTCATGTCCTTTGCCCACTTTTTGATGGGGTTCTTTGTTTTTTGCTTGTAATTTGTTTAAGTTCCTTACAGATTCTGGACATTAAACCATTGTTGGATACACAGCTTGCAAATATTTTCTCACATTCTGTCTGTTTAATCTGCTGATAGTTTCTTTTGGTGTACCGAAGCTCTTCAGTTTCATTAGGTTCTATCTGTCCACTTGTGTTTTTGATGCAATTGCTTTTGGCATCTTTGTCATAAAGTCTTTGCCAGGTCGTGTGTCAAAAATAATATTTCCTAGGTTATCTTTCAGGGTTTTTAGAGTTTTTTGTTTTAGATTTATGTCTTTAATCTATCTTGAGTTTTTTTGTATATTATGTAAGGAAGGAGTCCAATTTTAATCTTCTACATATGGCTAGCCAGTTATCCCAGCATCATTTATTGAATACCAAGTCCTTTCCCCATTGCTTCTTTTGCTCAATTTTGTCAAAGATCAGATGGTTTTAAGTGTGCAGCATTATTTCTGGGCTTTCTATTCTGTTCCATTGGTCTATGTGTCTGTTTTTGTAGGAATAATATGCTGTTTTGATTACTGTACCCTTGTAGAATATTTTGAAGCTGGGTAATGAGATGCTTCCACCTTGTTTTCTTTTTACTTAGGATTGCATTGGGTTCCACATGAATTTTAAAATAGTTTTTCTAGTTCTGGGAATAATGTCATTGGTAGTTTGATAGGAATAGCATTGAACCCGTACATTGCTTTGGGCAGTATGGCAATTTTGACAATGTTGATTTTTCCTGTCGATGAGAATGGAATGTTTCTCCATTTGTCTGTGTCATCTCCAATTTCTTTGAGCAATGTTTTGTAATTCTCATAGCAGAGGTCTTTTACCACCTTGGTTAGCTGTATTCCTAGGAATTGTATTTTTTTTTGTGGCTATTGTGAATGGGATTGCATATGACTTCTTCTTTTCCTATTTGGATGTCTTTTATTCCTTTCTGTTGCCTGATTACACTGGCATGGACTCCCAGTACTATGTGAAATAGGAGTGAAGAGAGTGGGCATCCTTCTCTGGTTCTGTATATCAAGCGGAATGTTTCCAGCTTTTTCCCATTCAGTATGATGTTGGCTGTGGATTTTGCATATATGGCTCTTATTATTTTGAAGTATGTTCCTTCAATGTCTAGTTTGTTGAGGGTTTTTAACATGAAGGGATGTTGAATTTTATTGAAAGCTTTTTCTTCAGCTACTGAGATGATTATGTGGTTTTGCTTTTAGTTCTGTTTATGTGATGAATCACATTTATTGATTGGCTTATGTTGAGCCGATCTTGTATTCCAAGGATAAAGTCTACTCAATTATGGTGGATTAGCTTTTTGATGTGCTGTTGGATTTGGTTTGCTAGTATTTTGTTAAGAATGTTTGCATCTATGCTCCACAAGAATATTGGCCTGGAGTTTTCTTTTTTGTTGTTTTTGTGTCTTTGCCAGGTTTTGGTGATGCTGGTCTCATAAAATGAGTTAGGAAAGAGATCTTCCTCCTCAACTTTTTGGAATAGTTTCAGTAGGAAACTATTCAGAGTATTTAAGGTGTCCATCACCTGAGTACAATATATTTTTGTTCAGTATAGTAACTGTACTCTGCTATCAGGCATTGAATCTATTCCTGCTATTTTCCTGCGTGCCTATACCTTATAACACACTTGTGTTGTTCCTCCCTTCCATCAGCCTTCTCAGTCTCTGTTACCTATGTTTCTGCTCTCTACTTCATGTAATCAAATATTTTATCTACCAGATATGAGTGAGAATATGCAAGGTCTTTATGCTGTGCCAGGCTTATTCCACTTAAGATAATGACCTCAAGTTTCATTCATGTTGCTGTAAATGACACGATTTTATTCTTTTTATGGTTGAATATTATTCAGTTGTGTATATATACCACATTTTCTTTATCAATTCATCTGTTGATGGGCACTTAAGTTGATTCCATATATTTGCTCCCATGAATAGTGCTGCAATAAACATGCTAGTGCAGGTATCCATTTGATATACTGATTTCTTTTCCTTTGGGTAGATATCCAGTAGACATTGTTAAATCAAATGAAAGTTCTAGTTTTAGGTTTTTCAGAAATTTCTATACTGTTTTCCATAGCACTGTACTAGTTTACATTGCAAAAAGTAATGTATAATTTTCTCCACACCCTCGCCAATGTCTGTTTTTTTGTGTGTGTCTCTTTAATGATAACCATTATTACTTGGGTAAGAGGGCATCTCATTATGCTTTTAATTTTCATTTCTCTGATGATCAGGGATGTTGAACATTTTTTCATAAACGTGTTGCGTGTTTGTGTGTCTTCTTTTGAGAAATGTCTGTTCATGTTTTTTTGCCCAGTTTTTAATAGGATTACTTGGGTTATTTTCCTATCATTTGGGTTCCTTGTATATTCTGGATATTAGTTTCTTATAAATAATTAGTTTGCAAATATTTTCTCCTGTTCAACAAGCTGGTTGTCTCTTCACTCTGTTGATTATATCATTTGCTTTCTACTTTAATTATTTACCACTTTTACTATTTTTGTTTTCTGTTGCATATGCTTTGGAGTCTGTCACAAACTCCTTGTTCAGGAAAGTTTTTCCTGGGTTTTCTTCTAGTATTTTGATAGTTTCAGGTCTTATATTTAAGTCTGTAATCCATTCAGAGTAGTTTTTTTATGGTGAGAAATAAGAGTCCAGTTTCTTCTACATGTGGCTATCTAATTTTCTCAGCATTAGTTATTAAAGAGGGTATTTTTTCCTTAATGTAAGTTCTTGTTGGCTTTGTAAATATATCAGTTGGATTTATTTCTGGGTTATCTATTTTATTCCATTGGTCTATGTGTCTATTTTCATACCAATGCCATGTTGTTTTGGTAACTATAGCCTTGTAGTATATTCTGAAGTCAGGTGATGTGATGCCTTCAGCTTTCTTCTTTCTGCTCAAGATTGCTTTGGCTATTCAGGTTCTTACTTGTTCCATATACATTTTAGGAATTTTTTTCTAATTATGTGAAGAATGGCATTGGTATTTTCATAGTGATTAAATTAAATCTGTATATTTCATTGGGCAGTAGGGTCATTATAATGGTGTTAATTCTTCTGATCCATGAGAATGAGATAATTTTTATTTGTTTGTGTCTTCTTCAACTTATTTCATCAGTGTTTTGTAGTTTTTCTTGTAGAGATTTTTTACTTCCTTGGTTAAATTTGGTCCTAGGTATTTTATTTTTTGTTGCTATTATAAATGGGATTGTCTTCTTGATTTCTTTTTCAGCTAGATCATTGTTGGTGTATAGATATGCTAGTGATTTTTGTACATTGATTTCATATTCTATAATTTACTGAATTCATTTATCACATCCATGAGGTTTTGGTAAAGTCCTTAGATTTTTCTAGTTATAAGATTATTGAGGGTGGGTATGGTAGCTCATGACCATAATCCCAGGACATGAGAGGACGAGGTGGGCAGATACCTTGAGGTCAAGAGCTTGAGACCAGCCTAGCCAACATGGTGAAACCCCATCTCTACTAAAAATACAAAAATTAGCCAGGTGTGATGGCAGGCACCTTTAATCCTAGCTACTTGGGAGACTGAGGCGGGAGGAGAATGCCTTGAACCCGAGAGTTGGAGGTTGCAGTGAACCAAGATCATGCCACCACACTTCAGCCTAGGTGACACAGTGAGACTCTGTCTCAAAAATAAAAAAAAAATGAATAAGCAAAGAGAAACTATTTGAAGTTCTCATTTTTAACTTTGATGCTTTTTATTTCTTTATCTTACTTGATACCTCTGACTAGGACTTCCAGGACTACGTTAAGTAGGAGTGATGAAATTGGGCATCCATGTCTTGTTCCAGTTCTTAGAGAAAAGGCTTTCAACTTTTCCCCATTCAGAATAATGTTAGCTATGTGTTTTTCAAATATGGCCTTTATTATTATCAAATCTGATAGTTCTGTGCCTAGTTTGTTGAGGGTTTTTATCATGAAGTGATGTTGAATTTTATCAAATGCTTTTTTCTACATCTATTGAGAATATAATATGGCTTTTCTCCTTCATTCTGTTGATGTGAAGTATCATGTTTATTGATTTGTGTATGTTGAAACATCCTTGGCTCCCTGAAATAAACACTCCTTGATTGTGGTGTATTGTCTTTCTGTTGTCCTGTTGGATTTGATTCACTAGTATTTTGTGAGTATTTTTGTGTCCATGTTCAAGAAATACATAGCCCTGTAGTTTTCCTTTTTTGTGACTTCCTTGTCTGGTTTTGGTATCAGGGTGATGCTGGGCACATAGAATGAGTTAGGAAGCCTTCTGATTACCTCGGTGTTTTAAAAAAGCTGTAACAAGATTGTCATTGTGGTCAGTTGGATTTCTGTCGTGATAAAATGTGAGTCCTTTATTTTCCTCTTTTTTGTTACTGCTTTTATACTTCTGTGTATTCTCATGATGGTAAACGTCATCCTTTCATGTCCAGGTTTGGGAGCTCCTTGAGCATTTCTTATAGGCCTGGTCTAATGTAATAAATTCCCTTGTCATTTGCTTGCCTGGGAGAGAATAAATCTTTTTCATTTATGATGGATAATCCAATGGACAGTGTTCTTGGGTGGCAGATTGTTTTTATTACAGCAATTTGAATATATCATCACATTCTCTTCTGGCCTATAAGTTTTCTGCTGAAAGGCAGAGCAAGATGGGAGAATAGAAGCCATCATCAATCATGCTCATCACAGAGACACTAAATTTAACAACTGTCTACACCCAAAACACCTACATAAGAACCAAAAATTCGTTGAGTGATCACAGTACCTGGCTTTAACTTCTTATCACTGAAAGAGGCATTAACAAGGTAGGAAAGATAGTTTGGAATTGCCAACACCACTCTCTCATATGATGGCAGGGGATGCATGGTATGGAGAAAGAATCTCTGTGCTTTAGTGAGGGAGAGTGCAGAAATTGTGGGAATTATCACTGGAACTCAGCACTGCTGACACCAGGAAGAAGTCAGCTGATGAATACAGAGAGAACATTGAGATGATCCCTATCCTGAGTGGAATTATTCACCCCAGTGGTCATAACTTGACTTTCATCAAGCCTTGCCACTGGGGGAAAAAGTGCTCCTGAGTTTTAAATAAACTTGAAAAGTAGTCTACGCCACAAGGACTGCAACTCATAGGCAAGTCTTAGTGCTGTGCTGGGTTCAGAGCCAGTGCACTTGGGGAAGATGCAACGTAGTGAGACACCAGCCAGGGTGGCTAAGGGAGTGCTTGCACCACATTTTCTGACTATTTCATAAGATATTATCTGATTATTTGAAATCACATATATGACTTCAAATTATACTACAGAGCTATAGTAACCAAAACAGCATTATACTGGCATAAAAACAGACACATAGAACAATGGAGCAGATTAGAGAATCCAGAAATAAATTTATACATTTACAGCAAACTGATTTTTGACAAAGGTGCCAAGAAGATACATTTAGAAAAAGTCTCTTCAATAAATGATGCTTTGAAAACTGGATATCCATATGGAGAGTATAAAACTAGACCCCTATCTCTTGACATATACATAAATCATATTAAAATTAATAAGAGGCTTTAATCCAAGGCCTCAAACTATGAAACTACTACAAGAAAACCTTAGGGAAACTCTGCAGTACGTTGGACTGGGAAAAGATTTATTGAGTAACATCGTGTAAGCACAGGCAACTGAAACAAAAATGCACAAATGGGATCACATCAAGTTGGAAAGCTTCTGTACAGCAAAGGAAACAATCAACAAAGTGTAGAAACAACCCACAGAATTGGAGAAAATATGTGCAAACTACCCATCCAATAAAGGATAATAACCAGGATATATAAGGAACTCAAATAACTCTATAGGGAAAAAAATCCAATAATCTGATTTCAAAATGGGCAAAAGTTTTAAATAGTCATTTCTCAAAAGAAGATATGCAAATGTCAAACAGGCATACGAAATAGAACTCAACATCATTGATCATTAGAAAAATGCAAATCAAAACTACAATGAGATATTGCCTTACCACATTTAAAATGGCTTCTATCCAAAAGATAGGCTATAGCAAATGATGGTAAGGATGTGGAGAAAAGGGAATCTTCTTACACTTTTGGTCACAATGTAAGTTACTGCAACCACTACGGAGAACAGTTTCAAAGTTCCCCCCAAAAACTACAAATAGAGCTACCATTTAATCTAGCAATCCCACCTCTAGGTATATACCCCAAAGAAATGAAATCAGTGTATCCAAGGGATATCCACACTTCCATGTTTGTTGCCACACTATTCACAATTTCAAAGATTTGGAAACATCCTAATTGTCCATCAACAGATGAATGGATGAAGAAACGTGGTACATAGACACGATGGAGCGCTAATCACCTATAAAAATGAATGAGATTCTGTCATTTGCAATAACATGGATGGGACTGGAGGTCATTTTGTGAAGTGAAATATTCCAGGCACAGAAAGGCAAATGTCACATGTTTTTACTTATTTGTGAAGGCTAAAACTGAAACAATTGAACTCATGGCAATAGAGAGCAGAATGATGTTTACTGGAGGCTGGGAAAGGTACTGGGGTGGTGAAGAAGTCAGGATTTTTAATAGGTACAAATAGTAGAAATAATGAGTAAGATCTAGTATTTGATAGCACAACAGGGTGCCTATTGTCAAAATAATTTATTGTACATTTAAAAATAACTAAAATAGTATAATTGGATTGTTTGTATTACAAAGGATAATTGCTTGAGGTGATGGATACAACTTTTACTCTGATGTGATTATTATACATTGTATGCCTGTCTCAACATATCTCATACATGACATAAATATATACTTACTGTGGGCCCACAAAAAATAAAAATAAAACATTTAAAAATAAATAGGGGGAGCAGCCAAGATGGCCAAATAGAAACAGCTCTGCTCTCTGGCTCCCACCAAAAAGGATGAAAACAGTGAGTGAATTCTGCATCTTCAATTGAGGTATCAAGTTTATCACACTGGGACAGACTAGGCAGTTGGTATGACCCATGGAGAGCGAGGAAAAGCAGGGTGGAGTGATGGCCCACCTGGGAGCTGCACAGGGCAAAGGGGGCTCCCTCCCCAAGCCAAGGAATACAGTAAGGGATCGTGCTGCCTCTCCCTGAAAAGCACTCTTTTATATGCCTGAAAAATTTTTATTTTTCCTTAGCTTATGAAGCTTAGTTTGGCCAGATATAAAATTCCAGGTTGGAAACTCTTTTCTTTAAGATGTTGCATATTGGCCCCCAATCTCTTCTGGCTTGTAGGGATTCTGCTGAAAGGTCTGCTCTTAGTCTGATGGGCTTTCCTTTATAACTAACCTGGCCCTTCTTTCTAGCTGCCCTTCAGTGGTGGGAGGTGCTCAGGTGAATAGGGTCTGGAGTGGACCCCCAATAAACCACAGCAGCACTACGGAAGAGGGACCTGACTGATAAAAGCAAAACAAACAGAAAGCAACAACATCAATGAAAAAGATCCTACAAAAACCCCATCCAAAGGTCAACAGCCTCAAAGATCAAAGATAGATAAACCCATGAAAATGAGAAAGAATGGCAAGCTGGATGAACAGTCAAGATCCATTGTTGTGCTGTATTCAGGAGACCCATCTCACGTGCAAAGACACACATAGGCTTAAAATAAAAGGATGGAGGAAAATTTACCAAGCAAATGGAAAAGATAAAAAAAGGGGTTGCAATCCTGGATTCTGACAAAACAGACTTTAAACCAAGATCAAAATACAAAGATAAAAAAAAAAAAAAGAAAGGTGTTATGTAATGGTAAAAGGATCAACTCAATAAGAAGAGCTAACTATCCTAAATACATACGTATTCAATTTAGGAGCACTGAGATTCATAAAACAAGTTCTTAGAGGCCCACAGAGAGACTAAGACTACCACACAATAATATTGGGAGAATTTAACACCCCACTGTCAATATTACACAGATCATTGAGACAGAAAATTAACAAAGATATCTTGTACTTGAATTCAGCTCTGAATCAAGTGGACCTGATAGATATCTACAGAACTCTCTACCCCAAAACAACAGAATATACATTCTTCTTGGAGCCACATGGCACTTACTCTACAACTGATCAAATAATTGGAAGTAAATCACTCCTCAGCAAATGCAAAATAACTGAAATATTAACAAATGGTGTCTTAGACCACTGCACAATCTAATTAGAACTCAAGATTAAGAAACTCACTCAAGACCACAAAACTACATGGAAATTGGACAACCTCCTTCTGAAGGTCTTCTGGGTAAATAATGAAATTAAAGACAAAATCAAGAAGTTCTTTGAAACCAATGAAAACAAAGAGACAGCATACCAGAATCTCTAGGAGGCAGCTGAAGCAGAATTAAGAGGGAAATTTATAACACTAAATGACCACATCAAAAAGCTAGAAACATCTCAAATCAACACCCTAACATCACAACTAATGAAACTAGAGAAACAAAAGCAAATAAATCCCCAAGCTAGCAGAAGACAAGAAATAACCAAGCTCAGAGTGGAACTGAAGGAGATAGAGACACAAAAATCTAATGAATCCAGGAGCTCTTTTTTTGGAAAAAAAAAATAATAAAATAGATAGGCCTGTAGCTAGACTAATAAAGAAAAAAGAATGAAAAATCAAAAAAGACACAATAAAAAATGATAAAGGGGATATCAACACTGACCCTACAGAAATACAAACAACCATCAGAGAATACTATAAACACCTCTATGCAAATAAACTAGAAAATCTAGAATAAATTGATGAATTCCTGGACACATACACCCTCCAAAGATGGAACCAGGAAGAAGTTGAATCCCTGAATAAATCAATAACAAGTTCTGAAATTGAGGCAGTAACAAATAGCCTACAAAAAAAATAAATAAATAAAACAATAAAAACACCTCAGGACCAGATGGATTTAAGGCTAAATTCTACCAGAAGTACAAAGAGGAGCTGATATTCCTTTTTCTGAAAATATTCCAAACAATTGAAAAGGAGGGACTCCTCACTAACTCATTCTATGAGGCCAGCATCATACTGATACCAAAACCTGGCAGAGATACAATAATATCAATAACAACAACAAAAACTTCAAGCCAATATATCCCTGTTGAATATTGATGCAAACATTCTCAATAAAATACTGGCAAACCAAATACAAAAGCACATCAAAAAGCTTCTTCACCATGATCAAGTTGGCTTCATCCCTGGGATGAAAGGCTGGTTCAACATATGCAAATCAATAAACATAATTCATTACATAAACAGATCTAAAGACAAAACCCACATGATTATCTCAATAGATGCAGAAAAGGCCCTTGATAAAATTCAACATCCCTTCATGTTAAAAATTCTCAATAAACTAGGTATTGAAGGAACATACATTAAAATAATATGAGCCATTTATGACAAACCCATAGCCTAAATCATACTGAATTGGCAAAAGCTGGAAGCACTTTCCTTGAAAACTGGCTGTAAACAAGGATGCCCTCCCTTACCACTCCTATTCAACGCAGTATTGAAAGTTCTGGCCAGGGCAATCAGGCAACAGAAGAAAATAACGGGTATTCAAATAAGAAGAGAGGAAGTCAAATTGTCTTTGTTTGCAGATGACATTATCCTATATCTAGAAAACCCCATCGTCTCAGCCCAAAAGGTATTTATGCTGAGAAGAAACTTCAGCAAAGTCTCAGGAAACAAAATCAATGTGCAAAAGTCATAAGCCTTCCTATACACCAACAAGAGGCAAACAGAGACCCAAATCATGAATGAACTCCCATTCCCAATTGCTACAAAGAGAATACCTAGGAATACAGCTAACAAGGGAAGTGAGCGACCTCTTAAAGGAGAACTACAAACGACTGCTCAAGGAAATCAGAGAGGACACAAACAAATGGAAGAACATTCCATGCTCATGTATAAGAAGAACCAATATGATGAAAATGGCCATACTGCCCAAAGTAATTTATAGTTTCAATGTTATTCTCATTAAACTGCCATTGGCATCCTTCGCAGAATTAGGAAAAATGATTTTAAAATTCCTATGGAACCATAAAGGAACTCATATAGGAAAGACAATCCTAAGCAAAAAGAACAAAGCTGGAGGCATCACACTACTAGACTTCAAACTATACTGCAGGGCTACAGTAACCAAAACAGCATGGTACTGGTACAAAAACAGACACATAGACCAAAGGAACAGAATAGAGAACTGAGAAATAAGACTGCACACCTACGACCATCTGATCTTTGGCAAATCTAACAAAAACAAGCAATGGAGAGAAGATTCACTATTTAATAAATGTTGCTGGGAGAACTGGCTAGCCATATGCAGAAAATTGAAACTGGACCCACCCTTCTTTACACCTTATACCAAAATTAACTCAAAGTGGATTAAAGACTTAAATATAAAACCCAAAACTATAAAAACCTTGGGAAAAAATCTAGGCAGTACCATTTAGAACATAGGAACAGGCAAAGATTACATGACAAAGTCACCAAAAGCCACTGCAATAAAAGCAAAACTCGACAAATGGGGTCTAATTAAATAAAGACCTTCTGCACAGCAAAATAAACTGATATCAGAGTGAACAAACAACCTACAGAGTTGAATAAAATTTTTGCAATCCGTCCATCTGACAAAGGTCTAATATCCAGAATCTATAAAGAATTTAAACAAATTTACAAATAAATAATGAACAACCCCACTAAAAAGTGGGCAAGTATCATGAAAAGACATTTCTCAAAAGAAGACATTCATGTGTCCAACAAACATATGAAAAAAAGCTCAACATCACTGATGCTTAGAGAAATGCAAATCAAAATCACAATGAGTTACCATCTCACACGAGTCAGAATGGCAATTATTAAAAAAGTCAAGAAACAGCAGATGCTAGCATGGTTGCAGAGAAATAGGAACACTCTTACACTGTTGTTGGAATGTAAATTAGTTCAACCATTGTGGACAACAGTGTGATGATTCCTCAAAGATATAAAACCAGAAATACCACTTGACCTGGCAATCTCATTACTGGGTATATACCCAAAGGAATATAAATCATTCTATTACAAAGATAAATATATGTGTATGTTCATTGCAGCACTATTCACTATAACGAAGACATAGAATCAACCCAAATGCCCGTCAATGATAGACTGGATAAAGAAAACGGTACATATACACCATGGAATGCCATGCAGCCATAAAAAGGAATGAGATCATGTCATTTGCACAGACATGGATGGAGCTGGAAGCCATTATCCTCAGCAAGCTAATGCAGGAACAGAAAACCAAACATCGCATATTCTCACTTATAAGTGGAAGCTGAAAAATGAGAACACATGGACACAAGGAAGGGAACAACACTCACTGGGGCTTGTCAGGGGGTGGGGTAGGGGGAGAGAGAGCATTAGGAAAAATAGCTCATGCATGCTGCACTTAATACCTAGGTAATGGGTTGATAGGTGCACCAAACCACCATGGCACACATTTACTTATGTAGCAAACCTGCACATTCTGCGCATGTACCTCAGAACTTTAAAAATAAAAATAATTAAATAATTAAATAAAATAAATTTTCTATTGAAATATCTGCTGGTCATATGATGTTGTTTTTCCATAAAGTTACTGAAGCATAGTACCAAGGCTATCCTTAGAGACAGCCAAAAAAATAAATGGGTACTTACATGGTTTGATTGGAATTATCAAATATTTCACCACACATTCTTCACTCTTGACTATTCTGATTATTTTATCAGATTAACCTAAAAGTACATATTATTAATTTGGCAGAAATACGGTTATTGGAAAATGCATTTTAAAATATGGTTATTGGCAAATGCAGACAGAGTGGAGATGGAAAGTATGGAAAAGCCAAACAAGTAAGACACCATGTAGGCTACATCTGACGGAGAGTGAAATTTTGTGACTATGAAAACCTTTGTTGTTTTGATTTTAAAAATAAAAACATTGTAAACGATATATTCATTGCAACAATTTCTAAAAATTCAGAAATATGTAAAAGAATGAAATTCCCTGAGGCCCTATTTCCCTTCCTAATTATATTCCTCAGGGGTACTTGTCATCTTTTATAGTTTAGAGTGTGTACTTTGGCTGGTAGACTTTTCAATGTCTCTGCAAACAAGGAATCCTATTAAGAAAATACTTCTGCACTTACACAACTGCCTGTAGACCATTCTACCTAGAAAATTAACACTATGCATATTTTTTCTCCTTTTATCACAGGCTGGAAATGGAAAACAATAGAAGTAAGAAGCTAAAATCTAGTATTCATCATTTTCTTTTAGATAGGCAGAGTATACAGAGCAAGAAGCATCTTCACTGGAGAATTAAGTAGTCTCATTTGTGTCTAAAATATATGGGTGTTCAATTAAACAGAGACATAAACAGGACTTATGTGTAGCTCTGTCATCTTCTTCAATGTTGGTAATTACACTTATTTAGCAATATCCTGATGATTAAACATTTGCCTCTGAACTAATAAAACCACCAGGGCAAGTACTGTAGTAAAATAACTAAGAGGATGATTATAGCAATAGCTTTATAGGGCAGATGGGAAGAGATCACATTAAAATAGAGCAAAATCTCTGTAAGTCAATAGGAAATACAGACAGGGAAAATAAAACAGTATTTCCCTAGTGACGCATAATTTTAATTTTGGTTGCCTGTAGAAACAGCTCTCAACATATTAAGTAATTGTATGCAATTTAATTGAATTTTGTACTGCATGTCTCCTTTAATCTTTATCAGATAATTAACTGATTGCTTCTATTGCAGCATTCATAGAAACATCTGGATTTTAAATTAAAATGTTGCAGAAGTTCACACAAGCTTATAACAGGGTAACAGTATATTTAAAAAACCAATATTAGAGAAAGTAGAATTAATTGTGTTTATGTTGACTTATATGGCATAACATAATTTAGTTTTGTTAAACTTCATTGGAGTCAGAATATCTTTTATTTTTGATACCAAATGGATTGTTCACATAGTTTCAATCTTACATATTGTATGAAACATTTAAGCACTTATGAAAAAACATTTTAAAATTTCCAATACAACCTATAAATAAGACAAACTTATCTATGGTATATAAGTATTTATAGTCCCTAAATAACCACAAAATTGTGTGTGTGCATGTGTGTGTGTGTGTGTGTGTGTGTGTGTGTTTACAGTTTCTCATGTGGCTATTAAATTCCTTTCTTGTTCCTCTCAGAGGCACTTAATGTAAAATGACAAACATTTCCCATTATTTTAAATGTAATGAGTACTCTTGGTTATGTTTAAATAAAATTGTCATCTCTAAACAATTAAAAAATGAAAGCTAGAAATAACCACTGTGTGGAAAAAAAACGAGGAAAATCCAATTATCACTAAAATACAATGAATTCCCTCTGTATAAGTAGGGAGTCAGGAAGCTCATTGAGTGTTTCACAAGTAATTTAAAACCATATGTTGCCTCTAACAGAAGAAAAGCATACAGCAACAAGAAGGCAACTTAAGCAAAGAGAATCTCAACACCCAAAAGCCAGAGTAAAATTTGAAACACGTGTATTTCTTCTTAAACACATTGGAGAGCCTGAATCTTATTTTTTTTGTAATACTATTAATGGTATGATGAAGAATTTGTTCTCGTTTTCAAAGTATGTGTATCTTTGTTTTATTTTTACTCCATCTAACAGTTATTGCATACTGTGACTGCTCTTACAAGTCCTTTAGAAGATACTAACAGCTGAACTGCAATTTAGCAGTGGCAATAGTTTTTTCCAAATGAAAAGATGATCAAAAAACAGAATCATGTTTATTAATTCAACTGTGTACAAGCTATTACAAATATATTGTTTTCAAATGTGACTTAAACACGAGACTAGAAACTATCAAAATCCTAGAAGAAAACTTAAATAAAACTCTTCTTGACATTGGCCTAAGCAAACAATTTATGATTAAGTCTTCAAAAAGACATGCAACAAAAACAAAAATAGACAAATGGGACTTACACTAAAAAGTTTCTGCATTGCTAAGGACATAATCAACAGAGGGAAGAGACAACTAATCTGTTGAATGGTAGAAAATATTTTTTAAATATTCATCTAACAAGAGACTAGTATTAAAATTTTACAGGGAACTCAACACACAAAAAAATCCAATTTAAAAAGTAAGCAAAGTGCACGAATAGATATTTCTCAAAAGAAGACATACAAATGGCCAACAAGTATATGAAAAAATGGTCAACCTCACTAATGATTGAGGAAATGCAAATTAAATTCACAGTGAGATATCATCTTATCCCAGTTAGAATGGCTATTATCAAAAAGACAAAAATAGCAGATGCTGGCAAGGATGTGGAGGATATACAAGGATATACTGTTCCTGGGTAAGCAAATTAGTATAGTCATTGTGGGAAACAGTATAACGATTTCTCAAAAAACTAAAAATAGAACTACCGTACATTCCAGTAATCCTATTACTAGGAAAGAAAATCAGTTTATAAAAGGGACACTTGCAATCATATGTTTATTGCAGCACTATTCACAATAGCAAAGATATAAAATTAACCTAAGTGTCCATCAACAAGTGAACGGTAAAGAAAGTGTGGTGTATATATACGGAATGGAATACTGTTTAGCCATTAAAAAAAGAAATCCTGTCACTTGCAGGAACATGGATGGAACTGGAGGTCATTATGTTAAGGGAAATAAGCCAGGCACAGAAAGACAAATATTGCATGTTTCTCACTCATATGTGGGAGCTAAAAGAGCAGATCTCATGAAGGTAGAATGATAGTTTACCAAAGACTTGGAAGGGTGGGAGATGTTGAAGAGAAGTTGCTTAATAGTCACAAATATACAGCTAGATAAAAGGAGTAAGTTCTCGTGCTTCTACAACATAGTAGGGGGACTATAGTTATTGACACTATACTGTATATTTCAAAATAGCTAGAAGAAAATATTCTAAATTTTCCCAACACAAAGAAATAATAAATGTTCAAAGTAATAGATATCCTAAATACCCTAATTTGATCACTACACCTTGTATGCACGTATCAAAATATCACATGCACCCTGTAAATATGTACAATTATTATGTATCAATTAAAATGTTTTTTAAAAGATCCTTCGCTCTGAAAAAAATTGATATGACAACATTGCACGTTTTTAATAAAGAATCCTAAAGTGCGTTATACAACAGAACAAACGTGGGTTATTTACACTCGTGTTTTATCTGGTAGACATTTTTAACCATTGTAGGTATTAGAGACTGTTACTTTTCTCAAATTTATATATGCTGTTTTAGAAACCAGTCTTTTTGATATACAAAGATAAATCCTTTCAGTTGGCAGAAAAAGTGAAGGCTATTACAATCCTTCTTAAAGCAGCTTGCAAACTTTGGATTTGTAATCATTATACCGTCATAGCCCAGTCTTAGCTCTAAGGACAAGGATTATGGCTACTGAGCAGTGATGGACTTCCTAGACTAGTTCTTAAACATAAATAGCAACAAAATCAGTTGGTTCATCCTCAAACTCCAAAATTTACAAGGAAAAAAAAAATGCTGCCATTAAGTTAAAATCTACAAAATATTGCCAACTATATATAATTAAAGGGAAAATAAACTCAATACCTCAAAGAATTTATATATTTTAAAATGTATTAGTCACCCTGCCTGTGGATCCTGTAGCAGTTTTTGTAATATAAAGCTGGATAGTTGCATTTAATTTGTTTTAAAGGAGAGTTTCTATTAAAAGCATACCCAATCAATGTGTTAATCATTAATGAATTTCTAGTCATTTAGTTTTGAAGGCTTTATCTTCAAAATCATTTTCTATCCATCAAAATAGCTAAGTTGAATTATTAAAACATCGCATCATTTAGCTAATAGTAATGTTCCAGTGTCAATTTCTTAGTTTTTACAAATGTACCATCGTGATATAAAAAATTAACAATCGAGGAAAATGGTTAAGGGGCATGTAGAAACTCTGTACCAGCCTTGTAACTTTTTTTGTAAATATAAAATTATTCCAAAACATAAAGGTTATTAAAATATGCTCTTTTAAATGAAAACCTCTACTCCCCAAACAATGAGAGCTCCTTTTGGAAAAAAATTCCTTAAGTTGTATTTATTTGAAATTCTATTGAAATCAACATTATTTGAAGATGGTTTAAGTTGTTACTGTTGGGAATGAAAAGACCAAATAGGGAGAAACTGCCAAATCCACAAAAAATCCTCAAAATATAAGAAACCCAGGTAGCCCATAGACATTTGTTCTCAGAGGTGCAATCCAAAATCAAGTAAACCAACTAAAAAATGTTTAGCATGAATCAAAGAATAAAAACTTACAACAGTATTGGCCTTGATAAAAGCAACGTTCCTTCCCCTCACTAATTCATGTGAAGAACTTAACTGTCAGACCTTTGCGACCTAAAATAGTGATTATTAAAATTCAGATCTTGTTTTGACTGTTCCCTAATTTATTTACAAAAGTAAATATCCTTGGCATAATTCTAGCTCATTTTACCTGCATTTACATTTTTAGGAAAAAGTATGATATTTTCTTCCTATCAGGAATCTTGATTTTTCAATGACTGATTCTAGAAATATTTCAGAACAAAAGTCAATCTTCATATTTTTATGATCTATTAGCCATTGAACAATTTATTTGACAGGTTTATATATACTCAGTATGTACCATGTGCCAGACACTGTTACAGGTGCAGGAGATCTAGTAGTGAGTAAAAGAGAAGAAAAATAAAAACCTTTCCTCAAAGAAGCTTACATTCTAGTCATATTGTTCTCTCTTTTTTTGTTTAAATTATTATTTTTAATTGACAAATCATAATTATATACATTCGTTGTGTACAATATAATGTTTTGATATATGTATATAATGTGGAATTATTAAATTGAAGTCATTAACATGTTCATCATCCCATTTACCTATCTTTTTTATGATGAGACATCTTGTTCTTAAAAAGTAAGCAGAAATATACCAAGAAAATGACTTCACTATAATTGAATCATGTCCCTACCTTAAACTTCCTTTTCAGGGAAATCTAATAAGAAATGGTCTGCTATTTTTCAAAGCTAAAACACATCTTATTGTAACATTGCAGTAAGAGATACTTGGGAGTAGGCAGACAATGCCATGCAATGATAATACCTGACAAGATAATATCCTAGAAAGGGTTCCTTTCCGTCAAATGAACTCTAATAAAGAATGGCTCTGAAAATGTCAGACTTTGAAACTGCCTTTTATGTACTTATTGATAATGCATAGAATCTGTTTGTTATTCATATATAACTTGAAATTTCCCCCGTTAACACTTGAGGGCAGATTATCAGAGTAAGGAGAGTTTTGAATGTGGGATACATTTGTTTCCTCTTCCTCCATATCTCATCCAATTGTGTAGTTTGATGTCCTCCCTAACATTGCCTTTAATATTAGTTAATTCACATTTTTCTTCCTACTCCTATAGTTTTCAGTTCAACTGTAATATAAGTGTATATGGCAAACCACATTGGCCAGTTGATCACGGTGCATATTAATACTTTCAATTTGGCTTAAAACAACTAGAAGGGAAAAAGAATAAAATACCCAAATCCACTCAAAGCTCACATTCTCTATATCCTTCAAATAAATAGACTTCAGTCTCAGACATACTTTAACTTATGAGAATCATTTCAGGTACTATCACAGCTATTCTTGTCTGTCTTTAATGCTCCAGCATAATTGGTCTTAATCCCTTCTCCAAACCATCCTCTTCAAAAAAAAAAAAAAAAAATCCAAGTCTACGTCTCTATATAAAGGAATGAGTTCAAGTTTTTCTTTTAGCTTATTAGCTTTGATATCTTGGGTAAGTCACTTAACTACCAATCCTTTAACAGTATTAGTCCCAATTAATACAAAGTCAGAGGTATCTGTTACTACAGAATTTAATGTTTCTAGTTGGCAAACTTTAAAAGAAATTCTGTTAAATGAAGTGACACACAAAAAATGTTTTACTGTCATTCAGACAAAACTACAGAAAAGAGTATTAAAGTCCACAGACCACTCAGTTATAAATTCTTTTTGCAATAATTTTTTTCCTTTGATTTTGTACAATTAAACAATATAGTTTTTCTATTAATAAGTGTCACAAAGTAATACTGACTTTTAAACACATAACTTTTAAAGACAGACGGTAATAGTAACTGAGTTGATACAGATTTTTGAGTGTATATTGATACTTATTTAAGGTAGCATCCACCTTTCAATTAAAACTGCAAAACAAAACAGAAAATGTCATGGTGTAATAGGAAAATAAGCAGATATCCTCTAGAGGTTTCTCTTTCCTTGCATCAGTTTGAATCATCAAATTGCAATGGCTGTTTGGTTAATATTTTTACCAGTGCATGGAATACTCACTTATCAGTCAATCCATTAAGCTACACCTGGGCATTCACCTTATAAAAAAAGAAAAACAGTAGGGTTTTAAAAAATTTCATTGTTATGAATTTGGGGAGCTATTTTAGGAATCTATGTCCGAAGTATTATATCATTTGCAGAACTCATTTGGGCTGTGGAAAAGAGTATGGTAGTTCTTCAAAAAGTTAACCATAGAATTACATATGACCACACAATTTGAATTTTAGATATATACCCCAAAGAACTAAAAATGTAAGTCAACACAAAAACTTGTGCATGAACATTAATATCAGCATTATTCATAATAGTTAAAAAGTGAATAAAAGCCTAATATCCATCAACTGATAAATGGGAAATTAAAATGCAGAATATCAATGCAATGGAATATTGTTTAGAATTTTTAAATTAATGAAGTACATATTATAACATGTATGAACCTTGGCAACATTATGCTATGCAAGAGAAGCCAGGCACAAACAGATCCTATATTGTATTATGACATTCAAATGAAATGTTCAGAGTAGGAATATCCTTAGAGACAGAAAGTACATTAGTGGTTTTCAGTGGCTGGGGGAAGGAGGGAATGGGGAGTAACTGCTAATGGGTACAATATTTTCTATGAAAATTCTCTGGAATTAAATAATGGTGCATTAGTCCATTTTCATATTGGCATAAAGAACTGACTGAGACTGGGTAATTTATTTTAAAAAGGAGATTTAATTGACTCACAATTCAACATGGCTGGGGAGACCTCAGGAAACTTACAATCATGGCAGAAGATGAGGGGGAAGCAAGGCACTTTCATCACAAGGCAGCAGGAAGGAGAAGAGCTGAGAAAATGATGAAGAGCCCCTTATGAAACAAGACTCCCTTGTAAAACTCACTATCAAGAGAACAGCATGGTGGAGACCACCCCTGTGATTCAATTATCTCCACTTGGCCTCTCCTTTGACACATGGAGATTATGTGGATTACAATTCAAGATGAGAGTTGGGTGGGAGGACAAACCCTAACCACGTTATTTCACCCCCAGCCTCTCCCAAATCTCATGGCCCTTTCACATT